>NC_000004.12:81194108-81345623 GCF_000001405.40 Homo sapiens
TTAATCCCATAAATTATAATTTCCCCAAAGAGACACTGATCTTCAAGGGTATGACTGTGTTTTTCTTATTACTTAATACCTAGAACTGTATTTTGCACATATTAGAAACTTGACAAAATTAAGAAACCCAAAGGACATTCAAATTCTTTCTCCCAATTTAAAAATTATGGGTACAGGGACAAGAGTGGAGTTGGAAAACGTCAGTCACCCTAATAAACAAGGCACATTTAATAAACAGGATACGCATCTCTATTTTCTTCCCCATCCCCAGATAATTGTTTTTGAGTGATGAACCAAAAAAAAAAAAACCTAATAAATGCACAAGTTTATAATTTGAGAAACTAGCGTGACAAAAATGAGGTCATCCCATGGATGTCATAAAATAAGCATGACTTTCTTCTCTCAATTCTTTTACTTATTGCCCATATAATTAAATACAGTTGTAATTTAATTCTGTTGGCTGTTATTTCATGCTCACAACAAAACATTTCTCTCTCTCTCTTCCTTAAGTTTGTGTAGATGATTTTATTCCCATGAGCATCAAAGAGCAGGGTTTAACAATGAAATGTTGAAAACAATCAAAACTTACAAAGAAGTTTATCTGACACACTCAATGACAGGCATAATTATCATTGTGTTGCATGGTAATTAGGTATAAAAGGCAAACAGTTCCTTTAAATGTCTCTAATTAGTACTGCTCTTAAATCTTCAAACCAAGTAGTTGAGGAGTCAGCGGCAGGGAAACCTGCTCCTATAACACAATGCTCCTCAATGGTGGCTTCATATGAGAATCAGCAGGGGAGCTTTTAATATACATATATATATATACGCACCTATAATCCATATGCCCAGGGCTCTTGCCTCAAATCAATTTAGTTAGAATACCTGGGGGTTAGACCCAGGCATCAGTACTTCTTATTACAGGTGATTACAATGTAAACTTAAGATTAAGGATTACAGCTGTAAACAACAACATGGAAGAGAGTTGAAGTTGTCCCTTCCCTCTATATTTCCACAGCACTAGGAACATGCTCTACTGAAGGCTCATCAATTAATCAATCAATTAGGTAATTAACAAGTATTGATTAACAATGATCAATTAATGTTTGTTACAAGAATTTGACATAGCTTGTTCTCTTCTGCAATATAATACACAAGTGAGAAAATCCCTACTCTCCTCTCCCTCCTCCCAGCATTCTGTCTGGAACCTGAAACGTGGCCTGGCACCTAGAAACATGCTGTCAAGTTAGCCTCAGTGTGTGAACTTTTTTTTAATTTTAATAAAATATACATAACATAAAATGTATCATTTTAACCATTTATAAGTGAACAGTTTAGTAGCAATAAGTATATTCTCATTGTTTTACAACCATCACCACCATCTATCTCCAGAATCTTCCCAAACTGGAACTCTGTACCTATTATATATTCCCTGGGTCTCCTCACCCCTCCTGCTCCTGGCAATCTCCATTCTAATTTCTGTCTCGATGAATTTGACGATTCGAGGTACCTCATATAAATGGAATCCTGCATTTGTCTTTTTAAGTCTGGCTAATGTCTGCAAGCTTCATTCCTGCTGTAGTATGTGTCAGAGTTCCTCTGTAAGGCTGAATAATATCCCATTGCATGTATATACTACATTTTGTTTCTCCATTCATCTGTTGACGGACACGGGGTTGTTTCTGCTTTTTGGCTACTATGAATAACACTGCTATAAGCATGGATGTACAAGATTTTTTATGCATGGCTTTACCTACCCGGCATAGCCAATATTCCTAAACAGGAATCTCACACCAGAGAAGCAAAAGGCTTGGTGAATGAGGAGTGAGGACCTGTGACTTGCTCCTCATCAACAAAACACAGCAATGATGACGGAAGGCCATTCCTGGGTAGGTTATATAAGACTTCATCTTAGTTAACTGTAAAGGGCTTATCCAGCTGAGTCTGAAGAAGTAAGCTGCCATGCTATGAGAGGGCCTGTGAGAGGGACGCAAGGCAGGAACTCTAGGCAGCCTCTAGGAGCTGAGAGCAGCCCCAGCTGACAGCTAGCAAGAAAATGGGGACCTCAGCCCTACAACCACAAGGAATTGAATTTGGCCAACAATCACGTAAGCTGGGAAGAGGACCTCTTCCTGTAGAAAGCTCTAGAAATGAACACGGCCAGTTGACCCTTTGACTGCAGCCTTGTGGCTGACGTCAGAGAAGATGACTTAAATAAGTCACACCTGGACTCTTGGCCCACTGCAAACTGAGATAGCAAATATGTGTTGTTTAAGCTACTAAGTTTGTGGTAATTTATTGCACAGCAATAGAAAACCAATATGCTTGCATTTCCTGAGTTTCTGTTGACAAGAAATTTCAAGTTGTATCTTGTTCTTCTCACTTGTACTTCCTCTTTCCTCATCTCACCTGGAAAGAGGGAACTGGAAGCTCTAGGTCTTTCTTTCTCTCATATTTCCCAGAGCTTAATCTGTAAGCCCCAAAAAGACCATTTAAACACCTGCTTGAAATTTACCAATTAAAATTGATTTGGCATCACAAATAACCCAAGAAGGATTAAACAGATGTTGGGGGACCCTGATGACTCGCATTTTATTATAAAATATATATAAAATATAAAATATTCTCTGGCCATTCCTGGCTATAGATCTCAAAAAAGAAAGAAAGAAAGAAAGAAACCTGTCACACATAACTGCACTTTAAAATCTACAACTAACAAATACCTCTAGGGAGAGTCAGCAGAAAGAAGACAAATCATTTTAAAGTGAGACTTTAATGAAAAGAAACACTTTTAGTTAAAGGATAGATACAAGAAATGTACCTTTCACAAAGAACGGACTTCCAAAGTGTCTGAAAATCGAAACGTTTCATCCTTGTCTTCAGATCTGTTCCCCTTCTTGAGAATTGTATTGCAATTTAAACTCTAGAAAGAGGCGACAGGAGCTGAGCTGCTCAGGCTTATGGAAAGAAAAGGGAGGTTCTGTGGAAACTGAATGCTGCTCACTAGGAGGCAAAGGCCAGTGGTGATGTTTCTCTCTTATCCAGCAAGCAAGAAAAAGAAAGACCACTGTCCACTGTCTTCTCAATGACGCTATTTCTACTACAGTCCTTCCTGGGTATCTAGCAAGGAATGGGCAGTGTCCAGAATGTTTTTGAGAAAAGAAAAAAAAAGGGTCAAAAGGAGCCACCCATTTCAGAGGACATTTAGAAAATGTAAGGGAGAAGAGGTGAAGGCTCCTGCCCAGGCAACCAGGACCCTTGTTAAAAGCCAGCACTGCTCAAACTCACCTGGAATAACCAATTTGGAACCAAGCAGATCCAGAAACTGCTATAAATATCCTACATAAATTAAAACAATAGCAAGCGAAATAAAATGAGAATAGATTTCAGAGTTGTTGTGATTAAGAGGCAGATGTTTTAACATCTAGGTGAGTTTATAGAAGCCTTAGCCACTACTAGTGATAACCATGGGCTAGTTACTTACTCTTAATAAGCCTCATATAATAATACTTACCAGATAGGTTAACTGTGAAAATAAGTGAGATAACTATAGATAGGTCATAGCAGAGTGTACCAAATAAGATACTCAAAATTGGTAGTATTGGCCATTGACTAGTCAGATATTGAGAATGAGAGAAGATTAGGAAGAAACCAAATTAAAGAATTAGTGAAAAAAAAATGAAGGAGGGAAGACAACATGAAATAAGGAAAAGGGAAGCAAACGTGGAAGAAAATATTAAAGAATTGGATTCATTGATTCAATATTCAATAAATATTTATTGCATTGGATGTATTAATCTGAAGGAGTAAAGGGAAACTTGGACATTAAAGCTGCTCAGCCAAGGCTAGGTACTGGGTCCAAAAGTGCCATGGTTTTTGTGTAGTGTAAAAATAGCATTGTGCATCCCCTTAGGAATGTAGCCCACAAGGCGAGGGTAGGCTCCTCAGAGTCAGCACAGTGCTAACAGTGAGCTCTTAGACCTTTGACTACTCAAAACAATTAGCCTTCAAATCCTCAGTGTTTTCCAAGGCTTCATTAAATATTTTTCCTAACGCCTAGCAACTAAGACTAGAAGTTTTAAGGATAAAGTGAGAAGGACTAAAGGGCAGATATCAACTAAGAAGAAGACCATTTGAGAGGCTGAGAGGGCTGAGGTGGGGAAGCAGAGTGAGCAGAGCCCAGAGCTCATTGGCTCCTAGAGAAAAGAAAAGACAGAGGCACAAAGGGAGACTGGCTGGGTGCCAGGACTCAAACCGGCTGCCAAAGCTTATTTAACTTCATCTAGATGTCAAGGCAGCTGCCACTTAATTCCAGTCAGGCTCCTAAATTCCTCCATGCTTTTTACCTCTTCCTTTTTTTGGAGCTTAACGGTACCACCCACCCTACCTCACCCCCACAAAAATAGCCCCCAGCCTGGTTATACAACCCCAAGGGAAGCCACTCACACTGTAGGCTGCACAGGCTATAAATGTTGTGCACATTGTGGTAGAGAATACACATTTGACATCAAGCAGACTCAAACTGGAAAACTGTTTCCAAAAATATATAAACATTACAACCTGGAGCAAGTTGAATGACCCCAAGCTTTAATTTCACCTTCAGTAAAACAAAAAACTGATGCCTCATTAGGCAAGTCTGAGGCCTTCATGAGTTAATTATGGAGAATGACAGATATGTAATAGCCAACCAATAACTTAGTTTTTTCATCCCATCGCTGAGTAGCTAGTTTTGATCTGAGTGTCTACATGCACATTGTCTATCACTATGAAATATAACCTTTTGTTTTCAAGCATACTGACAACTTTCACCAGATATATCACCCAGTTACCTTCACCATAGATTCTTGGTATCAGATCACCACAAAACTGGATTATTTTTCTTCTTCCATGCCTTATCCTATATAGACAGCTTCAATTTTTGCTTTTCTAAAGACCCGGGTTAAGACAATAGTATTTATGAGAATATATACCAATTTTGTAACTGTCCAACTGGTAAAAGCCTGTATATACACTCTTAAAAATCTTTAATTATCTATGTAAAATCTAGGTATAGAGCCTCTCATATGGCAACATGTAAGTCAGTATTTCATGGAAGGGAAAAAAGGGATGTTTCCTCCCCAGCAAAAGTTCCCACTCCTGCAAACTGCTAATAGAGTAGCACTTTCTGGAAGAATCATTTTCAGGGAAAAATAACAATAGCAGGGAGATTTTTCTAATCATTGCATTTAAAAAAAATTATTTCTGATTATATATGTAATTTTTAAATAAGGCCTTCCAATAAAAAGGTCAAGAGTCCACCTCTGATTGTTATCTTGAAAAAATTATCTATAGGAATGAATAGAGCAGAATCTGGACAGCGGGTTTTCTGATTTTGAATTCTGTTTCCTATATTACACTCTACATAACCTTTGGCAGGTTATATAATTCTGTGTGCCTCAGTTTTCTCATATATAAAATGGGAGTGATTAATAATATCTATCTTATAGGTTTATTGTGAGGATTAAATGATTCAGTATTTGCGAGGCATTCAGAGTGGTGACTGGCACATAATTAGTGGTATATAAATATTTTTTCCCATGGAAACATTCCTCTTCAATAAAGAAAACATGTTCTGTAGTGCACATCCTCAAATGCTCAGTACTGCTTTGGAAAGGAAGCAAATAAAAACAAACATATTCTTCCACAGTCCTTTTCCACATCTTATTTAAACGTATGACTCACTAGCATTTTCTTCTTTTACCTATTCTGCTCCTGTGGTGGGAGTGACAGATAAAATGAATTGTCCTTCCTAAAACTGGAGTCAAATCTGAAGTCAGATGGCAAGTCTTTGTTTTATCTTTCCTTTTCATGAAAGAACAATAGTTTCAAATGATAGTTTAAGCATCCCTAGCAAAATGCAGTCATACCAGCAACTTGCCAGATGTCTCTGATTAATTTGCCTGTGTTCCACCAGACATTCAGCATGAGCTCCTATTTTTGCTCTGATGAAGTTTTCTAAACAATATCTACATAAACAGAAAAGAAAAACTTAATCTCAGTAAAAGGTCTGACATCTGAATGCATGGTTGTCTTGGTGCTCAAGGCAGACCAGACATGGGCAGAAATGCTATGTGAGCTCTTCCCTGCCCTCTCTGCCAGTGATATTCAGTTCTCAGCCTTGAGAAGCACTGTAATTATTCAGGAACCCATATGTGACCCTCCATATATGCCACAGTTGCTGCCATCAGGTGGATCAAACCCATTCGCAATGTCCTTTTCTCACAGACCTCAGCTCTAAGGATCCAGAACTTAGTAGGCATCGATGCAATGGGCCACCTCTGCTCAACTCCACATGGATGAAGCTAGGAAGCTCCAGGAAGCACCACCACTCTTACTATCAATCAATGGGGCACACTGTAATAAGGCAGACTGGTGCCCAGGCTGGTCTAATCAAGGCCTTTCACATTTGTGGGTAGTTCTTACAACACTAGAGTAGGACTTAAGACGAAAAGAACTGATCCTGATTTCAAGAGTCTTGGATTCTAATCTTAGCTCTGCCACCAACCACGGTATATTCCATAACTCCCCAGTACCTGTGTCCTTACTTCTCTAGTAAGGGGGGTAGCATCAAACAATCTGTAAGGTTCCTATGGCTCCAAGGTCTTCTGATGTTCAACATATTAAATTTAAGTCAGAGATCAGAGTATTTGACACATTGTAGTACCCTGATTCATCATGAAATTTATAATACTTCAATAAAGCTGAGTGCCTGTTATAGAAACAGGCTACATGCCCACTGCATGCTGCATGGTTTTGATGATCTAAAATGGTCAGTAGGCACAAAGCCAGGTCCCTACAAAGAGCTATGATATACTGCAGGTTGGGTGCAGCTGACGAGTGACTCCACATTGTGCCCACCTCAATCTCACAGGCATAGACTCATTTTCTGTGGCGTTGTCCTAAAACTGAACATAGGTCTCACTTTGTCTACAAAGGGTTCCCAAACTAAGTCATAATTCCCATCTTAGGCAATAGCAGTTACAGTCAAAACCATTAGAACTGCAGTATTCAGTAGAGTAGGCAATAGACATGTGACTATTCAATGTTTAAATTAATTAAAAATAAAAATCCATCAGATTCAAGCTTCTTTGTAAGAAAATAAGTTAAAAATCCAGTTTCTTAGTGGCACTAGCTGCATTTCAAGTGCTCAATAGCCATATTTGGCTATTGGCTACCATATCGTAAAGCATGGATTATAGAATACTTCCATCACTGAAGAAAGTTCTACTGGACAGCACTGAATCTAGAACCTGAAATTAAAATGCAGATCCTTGAAATTAGAAAGAAACAAATTTCCAGAATTCCCTAATGCCAGTAGAGTTTCATTATGAGCTCCTCCATATAAAGTAGGGAGGTACAATTAGACAAATTAAGTTACACCTTCAGACCATAAAAGTATATTTGATGGGTACAGGACAATAAAGCTGGCATGAGCTGGTGGTGCCTAGCAATTGAAGAGGCTCACTCACCACTTATGATATATCTAAGCACAGGTACCTTAGCAAAATCATAGAATACTGTGTCATGAATTATAGGAACTGAATATTCAAATTCAGAATCTATCATGCCATCAAATTTTATTCTCTGGCTTCTATGGGTGCTTCATATCTCCCTAATATTGTTGACTGAAGGAGAGCTAGGAGTCTCCCCTCAGTTTCTTGCTCACTGTTAAGTGTTCATCAGAAATACTCTCTTAGACAAAAAAACTGAAGAGACATTCAGTGGCTTTCTGATCCAGTATGGAAGGGTGAACATTGTCCAAAATGTAGTTGATGTGTATATTAATAGAAACAGATTTAGCCATAAATTCAGCCAGGATACTTTATAAAAGTCCAACAAATAAATTAGGAGAACCAAAAAATAAACAGAAGAGCCATTATGACTGATGATCTTAAAATCTCTGATATCTAGCAGGAACTGCTTGGAAAAGTAGACAAACTAATGTATACTGTACATCATCCTTTCATCAGTGAAGGACATGTCTATCCTTTTAATGCTCTAACTTCTGGAAAATTGTTTCTTACAAATTTTTGACAGGCTGTATAATATAAAAGAGATATAAAAATATCCAAAGTTTACTTTTGGCTTTTATCCAATACTGAAATGATTTGCAAATGGAAAATGAATTGTAATATTGAGCACTTTTGAAAAATTGAAAAATTTTAAATTTCTGAATTTATAAAGTTAACTATTTGTGTTTAGCTAGTTATTTCAGACTTAAGGAGGTATCTGTACTTTTTGCAAGGGAAACTGAGGTACAAACCAGTCAACTAAAAAAGAATGTTTCCATTTTTTATTTAATTATTCAATTTAGAACCACAAGGCTCTGTGAAAGCAGATGAGGATTGTTAGGGCATGGATGATACAGTTTTTGTCTCTTTAGGACTTAATCATTAAGAAATCAATTAGCCCATTTCTTTATCCTGACCACAACACAGACTTGTATCCACTTGGCTTGCCTTTATGGTGAGGAGAATAATCAATAATCCTTATTCAGGAGATACAATATCCTTCCTGTGTCCCATTCACTATAGACAGACAGAAAGAAGTCTGGTTTGGCACAGAAAGTGTATATAACTACTGATTTTTTTTTTGCCTGATTATAGCAGAGCTAATAATTTATCCTTAAATAAAAGCAAGGAAATACGCTTATCTCAGATTTTTCAGCACCAGGAGCATGGTGTTTTGCCTCAAGATGAGCATAAGTCTTTGAACAAAGTAATTGAACATAATCTTGGTTCAAGAGAATACATCTGGTGTCATATATAGGGAGAAGGTCAAAGGAGATGAATTGCTACTAAATTCTCTTACATGTCATTCTGCATAAAAAAGTACATTGCTATTTGTAACATTTTTGTGAGTAAATAATAGATTATACTTACGTGTACATATATAGTAATGTAATGCACATTCTGTAATATTATTATATATGTATATATATACATATACTATGTAGAGTTCATATATCTCTAACAGAAGAGAACACTGGATGATGTTCAGTTTTTTAAAACAAATATAAGTTTGTGCCATCTATAATTTCAGAATTCATACCATTAAAAATGATTATTACTTTTGAAAGGAAATAGATGAGAAATTTTTAGACTAATAAAAATTTTGACTTAATAAAACTGCTGAAATCCAATATTAATCAAATTTCTTTCAGTCACAGGATATTATAATTAATAATCTGGCATCACTAACTTCCTTCACAAATATTTATTGATCATTCACTATGCTTCCAGTACTGTCAACAAATTGATTAATTAAACCTCCCTTTATAATTCTGTTGTTAAAATTGATCATTTGTTTGTCTGGGTCAGATGTTTTATCTTAATTTATAATACTTACATTTGTGAATGTTAAAATTTGTTTTAATTTCACAAATCTTGCATTTTGCAATAGAGATTCAGGCTCGACCAAGGCATTATCGAGGCAAAAGATTTAATTTCAATTAATAAATACTCAGTTAAAAATAGTAAGGGAAGGGAACCCTAACTAATGATGTTTCTAATGAGTCTTCCCTGACCCAGAAAATCAAACTTTCGCCCATAAAGAAATGCATACACACACATGTGTGCGCACACACACACACACCCCTATACATGAATGCAGAGGCAAGTATTTATATGTTCTTTTAAAAACTCAAATTTTTAAAAGTAATTCTAGCTTTTAATTGTTCCCTCTGCCTGAAATCCTCTTCCTGCCTGGTTCATGCTCCTTGAAGTCTGTTAAAGGTCACTTCCTCAGCCAGGCCTTCATGACAAGCCTGCTTCTGTTGTCTCCCTGACCTCCTTTCCCTTCACTCCAGATACCACCTGCTATAGTATTGGCTTTTATCATATTATTGATTCCAATTAATAATTACACATTGCTGACTTGTTTCTGTGTATACTGTTTACCGCCCCTGCTAGAAAGGCTCTGTTTCTATTCACTGAGGCATACTTAGCATCTAACACAGTGGCTGGCAGAGAGTAGAGACCACCATAAACTGGAATGAATGAATGAATTCATCTTTGAGGCTCCAGCATGTTCCTTTTCCATGACACTTGAAGACTACTAAAATGTGACTCTCTTTTTTTTTTTTTTGGCTAACATAGTCACAATTCACTGTGATGTGTGTACATTTTTAAGTTCACTCCTCTAGAAAAAGAAGTGTACACTTTCTAATACTATTTCACACCCCTAGGGTTTTCAAGGTAATAGAAATAATTGTCAGTAAACTGAGCTCCTCATGAGAGATATATATAGTACAATTTCTACTTTAAACTTCTGCCCAATGGGAGATTTTTTTGCAAAACAAAATCATTTCAAAAACCCCTCTACCCCAAAATCTGAAAGGGTCAATATGTTCTTTATCATTAAGGAGGCTTAATAAATGTCACTCTCATATTTCACAATATTAAGCCCATCTGAGTTTAAAGGATGCGGAAATTTCTTACCTGGAGTCTTTTCTGACTCTTGCTTTCTCAAAGGAAAATTCAGGGGGTTTGTTCAGGTCATAGGTCCGGGTTGTTGGCTCAGCAGACACGCCAGCCTTTGCTCCCCTCCTGCTATGGAGAGAGACCAATCCAGAGGTCTTCCGGTGGACCTCAAGAGGCACTTTATCTGGAGAGGCCTGAAGCGGGCTTCCTCCCTGCATATGCACCACATCCTGCAGCTTGTTCAGCTGGATGCACTTGTTCTGGAGCTCCTCTGTGAGTTCAGCAATGGCCACAGTCTGCTTCGACAGCTGCTCCCGCAGCTCCTTCAAATGGTACTCCCGCTCCTGGATCTCAGCATCCTTCCTCCTCAACTCTCTCTCCAGCTCTGTCACCTTGTTCCGCAGAGCATCAGTGGTGAGGTTCCCAGAGTGTCCATCTGGGTGCTTAGAATGTTTAGGTTTCACTGAACCATTTCCCATTTTGCTCAGGGACCTGAGAAGGCACAGAATTGGGAAGTATCAAGTGGAGTTTCACTTCCCAACAGTCCCCACCATTCCTCTCATTCCTATCTTGTTTCATAAATAGGAACACAGTAATCTTCATTGTTTGAAAAGCAATAAACTTCCCGAAGTTTCCAGAAAAAAAAAAAAAGCTATCTATTGATTTCTTTTTTCCCTCCATGAAGAGGAGTTGGCATTTGGGTTCATTCTTACCTGTCCCTTTGAGAGCATAAGTATCACACCTAACATTTTTCACAAATGGTCTGAGTTACCTGCTGTTTTCTCTGGACAGTCTCTCTGAACAGCTGCCAAAAGCATCACATCAAAACTGTGATTTGGATGTCAGCATGGCAAAGATAAAATGCAAATGAGCAGCTACAACAACAGAGGCATGGAAATGTCACAACTTTCATAGCTCCCCATGCGGCAACAGTAAGAAACCTTCCCCAGATTTAGAAAATTACACATCTGCATTTCTCAGAAGACGGAAGCAGAGTTGGTGATGGTTGATTAGCACTTTCCTCCTGCTGTATGTATCTATTAAGTTTTGCATTTCTGATAACACTCACTGCTAAAACACTTCTGAACTGTGGTCACCAACAAGAAGAGTTTTAAAATTGTTCTGCATCCTCTACTTTATGTCCAAAGTGGAGGATCTCCAAAATGTACGACCCATGCTGCAAGGCTCTATTCTTTTCCTATTAAGAATGTCCTCCTAACATTGGTGTAGTGTGGGAAGTTATGAAAATTTCAAAAATTAAAAAAATGAATATCTTCAGTTCAGGCCCCAAAGTAATCATGAATCTAGTGAGTCTCTGGATGTGGTATGCAGATCAGGGGTTATAAGGGATGATTTAGTTTATTCAGAACTTGTTTTAGTCTAATAGCTATGTATTTATTTTAACATGTATTTGAAATATAAATAACTATCACCACAAAGTTGTGATCTCATTGTTATTATTGCTTCAGTGAAGACTAAACTAGGTATTCAGGTTTACTGAGTCAATTCGATGAAAATAAAAATAAATCATCTGCAGATAATAAGCACACACGAGCAGACTCACAAAAGTAGAACTTGAATGTGTGAACTTTGGGAAATACTGCTCTAATTAATTATTATAATGTTTTAAGGCTTTTTAGACTACCTATTTAAACTTCATATTTTTGCACATGCAGTTTTTGACAGCTGATATCATTTGGCTGTGTCCCCACCCAAATCTCATCTTGAACTGTAGCTCCCATAAATCCCCATGTTGTGGGAGGGACCCAATGGGAGCTAACTGAATCATGGGGGCGGATCTTTCCCATGCTGTTCTCGTGATAGTGAATAGGTCTCATGAGATCTGATGGTTTTATAAAGGGGAGTTTGCCTTTGCTTTTCCTTTGCCTTCCGCCATGATTATGAGGCTTCCCCAGCCATGTAGAACTGTGAGTCCATTAAACCCCTTTCCTTTACAAATTACCCAGTCTCAGGTATGTCTTTATTATAATAGCAACATGAGAACAGACTAATACAACAGCCATAACCCAAAAAGCATTATAACACTTGTAAACTAAGCTTGAATTAGTTCTGATTATCTCAAATCAGAAGAAATGAAACAGTTTTATAACCCACACATCTGCCCCTCTCGCCCTCCAAACTTCAAACTTAAATAGAAGTGAAATACTTAGAGTTTTTTCACTAGTTCTACCAGAATAACTGTGACCTCTACAACAACAAAGGCACAGATGCAAAGATGTAACACAGCATCTAGATTTCAAACAGATGTGACCAAATAGTCAATGCAGATTGCCTACAATGGATGGTGCAAAAAACAAATGCATTTATAAAAGCAATCTTGAAACACCTACTTATTTCTCATAGAATTCAGGTTCAAAGTGGTCATTAATAAACATTAGCCTTTGGAGAATTGCCTTAATATGTTGCAGAGATGTGGCAGGTTTAACCTTTAAGTTTCTGTTGACTTGGCAGCATTTACTGATCTTATATATTATGAATGTATAAGAAGGATGAAGAGACTAGAATTCAAAGAAGTAGCCCTGGACATACTTGTACCTTGAATAAGCAATTCAGAATATGTTATATTGAAATCTGAGAATAAACCTGAATGAGATTATGAATTACAAGCATAAGAAAGGTGCTCCAAAAAATCTGAAATTAATGTGTACACACGTTTTTAACACGCATCAGTGACCCATTTTCTAGACAGCCTTCTTGGTTCATGGAGAAGTATTCTTAGGTCAGTAGAGAAAGAAGGGAGATGTGATGGTAGGAGGAAAAGGATTTGCCTTATAAATAAAAAAGCACGCATAAAAACTTTCAAATCTAATATTAAACTAACAACTAACTCATTTTTGTTCATGGAAAAATTGTTTACTAAGACCAAAGTATCATATACCATATCAGAGGCATATCCCATCATGGATTTGCAGTCAAATTTGACACAGAAAACAGTTTTAGCATTACAAATATGAAAAGGCTTAGAATCATTTTTGCTCTATGGATGGTATTCAAAAAATTCTGTACCAATCCAATAATTTTACAAACTTGAAGCACAGTTAGGTAGAGGATGTTAAATTCTCCCAAAACACCAATTATCCTCTGGTTTAGTTGGAAGCTATGTAAATCTTTCAAGCTATTTAGAATTTCAAAGAGGGGTAAAATGAGAGTAACTAACTCATCTTTCAAGTCACTAATTTAAGATACGTAAGTAAGTTACTAAATGGCTCAATACTAGTCTGATTTCTTACTTAGTTCATCCATTTAAATATTGCTGTCCCTGAAGCCAAGGTTTCAAGTCTCTGGCTTCATAAAACCTAATTAGATTCACTCTGTTTCCTGTATCAGTCACTAAGATAAGCTATTTCTCAAATATGTATTGCTAGCCACAAGGAGAAATGAACCATAGGATGTTGCTCCATCAGTCTGGCAACTGCAGGTTATTAAAATCATTCTTACAGTCAGAGGGCAGCACATGATGCAATAAGAAATGAGTCTGGAGATAAAGATCAGAATTTAACATGAGCAATAGAGTCAGGCCAATTAGGGTTATAAAACAATCTGCTCTTTCTCAACCTTCTATATATTCCTAAAAATCTTTGAGTCTTACTTTCTCATCTACAAAAGGGAATATATTTATATCCATCTCGTAGGGTTACTATGATTATTACGTTTGTAAAGTACCCCATATGATGCCTGGCAGGTATCAGACATGAAGTAGGTAAGCAGCTCTTATTATAGTATGTAACTAGAAACAGGCAATTAATGTCTAGGTGTGAAGAAAACCCAGAGAGGATCATTTCTGGGTAGGACAGAAGTCTAGTAAACTGGATGTCTTCCACAAGAGTCTTTTGTGGGTTTTTGTTTGTTTGTTTGTGACAGGGTCTCATTCTGCAGCCATGAGATGCAGTGGCCAGTGGTGCAATCACTATAACCTGAAACTCCTGGGCTCAAGTGACCCTCTTGCCTCAGCCTTCAGAGTAGCTAGGACTACAGAGGCACACCACCATGCTTGACTGATTTTTTTTATTTTCTTGTTGAGATGGGGTCTTGCACTATGTTGCTCAAACTGGTCTCGAAATCCTGGGCTCAAACCACCCTTCTGCCTCAGCCTCTCAAATGACAAAACTCTTTAAAGATGCACATTATTCCTTTGGGAGGTGGTGGCCGGGAGTAAGGGACTCTTACTTTGCCTGGATTCTATCTTCCATTGAGAAAAGAAGTCATTTGGAAACAAACAGCCTGGAAAACAAGTTCCCCACCAAAAGATGGAGACAAAAAAAGAATTATGAATGACACGGAGCCAGTTCATAACTACAAGGACTTAATAATTGAAGCTCTGTAATTCCCTCATGTAGCCCCTATTTATTTTCACACACTGCAATGAAATGCTTAAAACATGGAGGCCCACCTAATTATCTTTGAAGGCAACCAAAAACCATAGTTCACTCTGGAGGCAATACTCTTCTGCAGTTAGGTATAGGAGACAGCAATCGAATGAGTAGTGGCATTTCGCTAGAAGAGAGGAAACTACATAAGACTACAAATTATTATATTAATGTAATCGCCATTTAGAAATTGCTGTCCACCAAGGGTAATTAGAAGAGACATAAGAAAAGCAAAAGTGACTGTGAAGGCGCTTGCAGGCGGATTAACACCTGGCAGTCAATGTGGGAGGAATTAAGCTTTGTTTTCTGTTTTTCCTCCAGCCCTATAGCAGTTTGAAACCAGAATCTTGGCTCTGGTCTAGATAATATCTATTTCTCTCTCTACCCATCTGGAGTCTGTTATAAATATACACAGACAAACACACACACACATATATAGATGTGTGTGTATAGCTACATGTATATCTGTCAATATGGGAGATGGTATGGTGCTGGCTAAGGTTATGGATCCAGAGTCCCAGTGGAAGCACTTTCATTTAGTGGTCTATATTCCCTCAGGCAAGATACTTGAGTGTCAATAATGGAAGAAAAAGATAGAAACATAGAGAGATAGACAAAACAATGCTGCCTGTCATTTACAGTTTTTAGAGGATTAAATGAGATAAATCATGATGAAAATTTAGCACAGGTATTAGCATATAGTATTTGTTTAAGAAATATTAAATATTACTATTATTATTACATTTAACATTATTTATCCAACAAGAGAATTTATCTTAGAGGAAAAACTTATTGAACTGAAAACATGTACTAAACCAACACAATATTGAAGGAGAACTGATACTGTCCAACTTTAAGGCTTACTAATAAAGTAACGGTAATCAATATAGTGTTGTATTGGTGAAAAAATAGACAAGTAGATCAATGGAACAGAACAGAGATCCCAGAGGTAGACCTAAACAGTACAGTCAACTGATCCAAAGATCAAAGAATACAAAAGAGAGCAAAGACAAGTCAATGGAGAAAGGATAGTCTTTTTAACAAATTGTACCGGAACAACTAGGCATTAATTTTTAAAAAAATAGAATCTAGATACCGATCTTATAACTTTCACAAAAATTAGCTTAAAATGGATCACAGACCTAGATGTAAGAAACAAAATTACAAAACCCCCAAAAGACAACATAGGAGAAATTCTAGGTGATCTTGGGTTTTGTGATGACTTTTTAGATAAAAGACCAAAAAGCCTGATTCATAGACAGAAAAAATTGACAATTTTGACTTGATTAAAATTTAAAACTTCTGCTCTGAAAAAAAAAAGAAGAAAATGAAAAAACAAGCCATAGACTGAGAGAACGTACTTCTAAAACATATGTCTAATTCTGAACACTCAATAATAGGAAAACAAACAACCCAACTGAAAAATGGGCAAAAGATCTGAGCAGACACCTCACCAAACAAGGCACTCAGTTGATAAATAAGCATATAAAAAGAAACTCAACATCATAGGTCATTAGGGAATCTCAAATTTAAACAATAATGAGATACCACTACACACCTATTACAATGACTACAATCCAAGACACTGACAACACCAAATGCTGGTGTGAATATGGAGCAACAGGAATGCTCATTCATTGCTAGTGGGAATACAAAATGATATAGTTACATTAGGGGACAATTTGGCAGCTTCTTACAAAGCTAAATATACTCTTACTCTACAAGCCAGCAGTCATGCTTCTTGGTATCTACCCAACTGATATGAGACATATGTTTTCACTAAAATCTGCACATGAATGTTTATGGCAGCTTTGTTTATAATTCCCAAAACCTGAAAGCAACCAAGAAGTCCCTCAGTAGGTAAACGGATAAACAAACTGTGGCACATCCATATAATAGAATATTATTCAATAATAAAAGCAATATCAGCCAACAAGAAGACATGAAGGAACTTTAAATGCATATTGCTGGGTGAAAGAAGCCAATCTGAAAAGCCTATACATTGTATGATTTCAACTGTATAGCATTCTGGAAAAGACAAAACTTGGAGACCATAGAAAGATCAGTGGTTGCCAGGAGCTTGGGGAAAGACAGAAAGGAATAGGTGGGAAAGAACATTTATAGGGCAGTAAAACTATTCAATATGATACTGTAATGATATACACATTTCATTATATATTTGTCAAAACCCATGGAATATACAAAAGGAATGAACCCCAATGTAAACTATGGACTTTAATAATAATGCATCAATATTTGTTCCATCACTTGTAACACATGTACCATACTGATGAAAGATGTTAAGAGCAGGGGAAAGTGCTAAGAGGTGGGTATATAGGAACTCTGTGCTTTTTACTCAATTTTTCTATAAACCTAAAATTTCTACAATATAGAAAGTCTATTAGTTTAAGAAAAGAATTATGTATTAAGAAATGAATGCAAGAAAGCTGATAGCACAGTCAAGGGACAGGCTGAAATGTGTGATGGATGGAAGGAGAGTAATGAATAATGAAACTGAAAAAGTAAGATACTGAAAAATTTCCTACGCCACATTATGGTATCTGAATCTTAAGATACACTAAGTTCTCTAGTTATGTGGTCAGATTTGTCCTTTAGGAAAATAATATTCTCATAAATAAGGAATGGAGTAAAAAGAGCTTAGAGGAAGTAAGACAAGGGAAGATACTATTGCACCAATCCAAATAGGAGGTGATAGTTTAAGGATTAAAGCTCAGAGTCCCAACACTATTTAATGACTTGAACTTCTTGAACTCAAGAAAAAAATTGACCATCTCCGTGGTAGCCAGAGAGAAAAACATTGCCATATGAGATTCAATAAAAGTTACAGCTATATGTAACACTGCAATGTCCTTCCCTTCAATAAATCATGGAAACCAGAATTGATTTTTTAATGATAATGGGCAGTTCAGCTGGAAATCAGAGGAGTGAATTATACAGACTTCTACAGATAATATTCTAGGTGGATAGGAAACTGATACATTTGATGTTACCATTAGCTTGTCTCTCTAAAGTTCCTTTAGAAAATAATTGAATATATAAATCCCTGATTCTTCTCCCTGAAGCAAACCACACAGAGTTGTTGTCCTTGTGAGAAACAGCTCACTTTCACATTAATGCCACAATTAAAAGCATCTGTCCATCCAACCTTGTGACTGTTGACCCGGGGCTCAGTTTGGAATCTACTGCTTGTTTTCTCTGTCCACAGCATCCTGGCTGGAGAAAAACTTTCTCTTGACAGGAAATCATATGACCTTGTTGTACCAAAGTTGCAGCTACTCTGGAGGTTGGTTATCTCTTTAAAGTGCCTCCCTCCCACCCCCCCAGCAGAATGTTCGCGGTGAATTTTATGAATGCCACTATCCTATATTTGACTGCCAAATTCAGCTATTTGGGGGGCTACATTAACAGATAAACAAGCAAACACACAGAAATGTAGGTCTGTAAGTCTAGGTCAGAAGATTATAGCTGACAGAATTTTTGAGTGGTGGCAAGAAGAAAGACGATGAGGATTTGAAAGTTTATACTGTGGCAACTGGGTAAAAGGTAATGTCATTGACCAAAATGAGGAGCAGATTTGAGGGATAGGACAGTGAGTTTAATTTTGGATATACTCAGTTTGAAGCACCAGTGGAAACTTTAAGTAGAGAAGTTTAGTGAGCAGTAAGAAATGAGGGACAAGAAAAGCTAAAGAAAGAGGAAAGCTGAAAATATTAAGCAGTTATTGATACATAAATAGAGGCTGAAGTTGATGAATTGGAGGCAAGTGCCCAGGATATTAGCGATGAGGAGAGGAGAGTGTCTAGGTCTATATGAGGTTGGAAAGAAAACTGTAAGATATGGTAAGAAGGTACTGCTTTGGTTAAAGTGAGAGAGGATGTGAAGAGATTAATATTAGAAGAGGGTGAGTAGGAGGAACACTGCAGGATAGCATCTCTAATGTAGTAATTAAATGGATGTGCATGGGAGGGCAATCAAAATGATTTCAATGTTTTGATCTTAGGAGGCTTGAAGGAAAGTATTACTATCTACTCTTCATTCATTCAGTCATTCAAAAAGAACACATAGGGCACCGTGTATGGGCTAGACACTGTGGCACTGACAGAAGTCAGGAGAATGAGCATGCTTTGAAAAGACAGTAATGAGTCTGGATTTACATATATTGAGTTTGAGATGCTTGTGGGTCATCATGATGCAAATGTCTAGCAGGTAGAAGCAAAAAAGAAAACTCAAGGGAAGAGATTGCTCCATAGAAGACTTGAAGTACCATTTGTAGATGAGATCACTAAGGGAGGTAAGAAAGGAATGTCTCTATTGTTACCTATGAACATATAGGTAATATCTGTGGATATTATTTGTGGGAGAAGAGGAGGAGAAGCAAACCACAAAGGAGAAGGAACACGTGTACCAATAAGAGATTTAGGAGAAGCATCAGAAAGGCCATGCAGATAAGATCCTTAAGAGGTGAGCAGGCTGTACCTCACATCCCACAGGCCTGTCACAGCAAATGAGATCAGAGAGAAAAGTGCTGAATCTGATTTGTCAAAGAGTGGGGATAGACACTCAACTACAAGGGACCATGGAAAGAGCTGACACTAAGAGTAGAGCCTGCAAGACGATATCATGATTCATGTGAGGGATTTTTAAAATAATGAAAATTTGAAAATGTCTGTAGCTCCAGGATAATGAAGCACAGGAGATATGAAAAACGAAAACATGGGAGAAGAAGAGATAATTCATAGGAAAAATAGCCTAGAGGAAGCAAGACAATAAGGGATCACAGGACTTGGGCAACAGCCAGGCAACATATGCCTTCACTGTGAGGTGAATTCTCATTAGCCTCACTTGTAATGACTTCATAGAACTGGAGTTAAGGATTTCACGTAAAAGAGAAAGATCCCTGGGCATCATCTTTTCAGGTCGTTTATTCTTAGTCATACAGCGTTCCAACGGAGAGGATGCACTCTAATTCTCCATAGAGAATTCTCTACCATATTAGCTCATACCCTCCTGTGCAAAACTAAACAGGAGTACTGAAAACAGCTAGTGTATGTTATGTGGGATGATCGCCTTCTTCATGAGTTAAATAGAAACTTGCAAAGAAAAGAGACAATTTCTAAGAAACTCTAAATATGGGGGTGTGGTGGGGTGGGGGCAGGTGTATGTTGCTCTCTTCCTTAAAAAAAAAAAAAAAAAGAAGGAGAAGAAGAAGAAGGAAAAAGCCCCTGGGAACTTGGGGAACAAGATGAAGATCAGGAAATCAAGGCATTTGTCCCAGCGTCACCCTTCCTACCTACTAATTCTGCATGCGTTGCTTTTATTGTCAGCTCTGGCCTCAGCTGCTTCGTAGTTGCACCGTAGTTCTTCTCAGAACTGAACCTATTTCTTTTTTTCTCATCCCCAAAGTGGCTGGTTTCTGGGCTTTGTTTGCTCTTGTTTCTTCATCACCGAGAAATACAGAAATATGAAAGCGCCTCACGGTGCCCAGAGTGACAAAAGGACACCCACACAAGTTTACCAGGACTCCTAAAAGTCCTTGCCTGAGGACTGTCCCCTAGCAACTACCCAGAGCTCGACGAAGCAAAGCCGGGAGCGCAAGCCCTGACAGCACCGCCAAGCCCCTAGCTCGGAGCAACAGCCTCCACCGCTTCTCCTCGCTAAACCTAGAGAACCCTGAGGACTCCCCACTGGGGCTGAGCCCCTCCCGCCCTCAACAGAACCTCTAAACACAAGTAGCCTTTCCCTGCCTCCAGGAGCTCACGAAACGCTGCCACACCGAGCGAATGCAACGCGTACACACGTCCACACTCGAACAGCACAAGCAAGAGACCGGCTGGGTGTGGAATAGAGGCGCACATCGCGCAACGCATTCACAGCATGCACACGCGCGCACCCCGACCCCGTCCCTCCCCGCGCGCCCTCACACCCCGGCGCCCAAGACCCCCGGCCCACGAACCTCACCAGACAGCCGGGTAACTTTCCAGGTGCGCAGCTTGTCACCTCGGCGCGGCCGCCCCTGCGTCTCAGCGTCCTCTCCCACGCCGCCCTCCCCAGCCGCCTGCGGCGCCGGAGCCCAGCGCAGGTCAGCTCAGCCAGCCCCGCCGTGCACACGGTGCGCAGCGTGGGCCCGGGGCTGCCGGCTCAGTCGCTCCGGCTACGTGTGAGCCGGGGGCGCGGGTTAGCGCGATGCGGGCAGGAGCTGCGGCGGCGTCGGTGCTGCCGCCTGGCTCCGCGGCGGGGGCCGGTGCAGAGGAGACACGCAGGGAGGGAGGGAAGAGAGGAGGGAAGGAGGAGGGAGGGGGTCAGCCGGGGCTACTGCCTGGATAGTTGGGCGCCGGCTTCCCTAAAGGTGGGGTCACCCGCGCCCGCACGCACACTAGCCCGAACCTTTACTCCCGACACAGCCGCAGTCTGCACTTTATACCCCATACCCTCCATAGTGAGGCAACTTAAGTAGGGCGATAACATCGTGGTTGTAAGCATTTTTGTTCATGTTATTATTTCTATTTCAAGTGTGTGGGACGAGGGGAGAGGAAAGTTCAGGGAGGTGTTCATTTTTTCCTTCCCCTCCCTTTCCTCCATCCTTCCAGTCTGTTTTCACTGCAGGCTCTCTCCACTTCGCCTTCCCTCCCAGAGCTCAAACAGGCGCACGTACCCTGGACATGCCCTCCTCTGTCACACCAATGCCTTTCTACGAAGACATGTGACCCCGAAGCAGCTCGTCGACGCGCCCCTCCCGGACTCTGGGGCCATAACTTACATCTAGTTTGCCAGTTCACGTGATGCTGGGGGCAGGGGTTGAATCGAGTTTCGAGGGACAGAGATTATACCTTCCGAATCTGCAGGTCTTTGGGAAGGGAGCTTTCTTGATCACCCAAGAAGATAATGCTCTCTCGTCACCTTTTGAGTACATTTTTTTTTCCTGAAGGGTGCAATATGGTTTCCTAAATATATATGTACACCCCACCGCATTATTTGCTGTGCTCTGGAGTTGTGAGATCTCCATGTGGCTTTTTCCCTTTCCTTCTGCCCCCAGAGGAATTTCACCAGCAAATTCACGGAGGACAAGGGCAGTTTCTGTGTTGAGAGATGGAAAGTATAGTGAGGGTCTATTCCTCACTGTGCATCTAGAGAATGTTACAACCAACTCTCTTGGGTTTTTAAACCACATGGTGGCAGTGGGGCTCATGTAACATTTGTATACACTGTTACATACATAAACTTATATTAAAAATGAGGCCCATGTAAAATATGTTGAATGAGACCATTAAGTTTCAGAGGAGGAGGAATATAGTCCTGTTTGTTTTTGTGCTAACTGGAGGAAAATCGCGAAAGTACACAAAGTACCTTTTCATGAAGCTATCCCAGAGTCTGTACATTTTATAAAGACCTCAAAAAAAAAAAAATTAGAGGAGAAAGGAGTGAGGAAGAATTCCACAAGAAAAGAGAAAATAAGTAATTGTATGTCACTGTAATAATGGACTTTTAAGTTGATGGGCTGAATTTTTATTAGCGATTTAATGACAAAAAGGAGAAAAACAGATTTTCAAAGTCTTCACTTTAAAAAAAAATTTCAGATTCAGGGGTACAAGTGCAGTCGCATTACACGGACATAACACATAGTGGTGAGGTCTGGGCTTTTAGCGCACCTATTACCCTAATAATGTGCACTGTACCTAATAAGTTGTAATTCCTACCTCACCCACCTCCCACCCTCCCACCTATTGGAGTCCCCAGTGTCTGTTATTCCATTCTGGATACTCATGCCTGCCCATTGTTTAGCTGCCACTTATAAGAGATTCTGCAGTTTTTGACTTTGTTTCTGAGTAATTTCACTTAGGATAATGGCCTCTAGTTCCATCCATGTTGCTGCAAAAGATATGATTTCATTGTTTTTGTGGCTGGGTAGTATTCCATTGTGTGTGTGTGTGTGTGTGTGTGTGTGTGTGTGTGTGTGTAGTACCCCTGAATCAAAAAAAAATTTTCCCAGTTTTTCAGGTGATAGGTACACAGTGTATGTGTGTGTATACCACCATAGTGTGTGTGTATATATTTTGTATATATATATATATATATATATGTGTATATATATAATATAAAACCACATTTATAAATCCAATCACCCCTTAATGGACACGTAGGTTGACTCCATGATTTTGCTATTGTGAATAATGCTGCAAAGTCCTTACATTTCATTGAGTCCTGGGCTTTTTTAAACAATGGGTTGCTAATTAATGGATTATAAAATTGATGTACTGGGTCAAAGCCAGCATTTTTAAAATGATACCAAATAGAATAAAAAATAGCAGAGTATGCACGCACACTGGGTCAACTGGGTCATATGTACTTTCTTACCGTTCATTGAGGTAAAAGCTTGAAAGCTGTCGATGCAGTGCAGGCTGTTGCCCAGGGTCACCCAGCTAGGAAGAGTTTGAGGGGGAACCTAAGTTCCCTCCCAGCAATCCTATGCTCTGTCAAATCTACAACTCTACCATGCTGAACAAGGAAACGGAGGAAGAGAAGGAAAGTGACCACTTTTTGAGCTTTTAATTCAGTCTTTCAACAAATGTGCTTTCAGCAGCTCCTGCATCTCAGGCCCAGTGCTAAATACTTAGAATTCAATGGTGAACAAAATTAACTTGTGATCTCTGCCAACTTAGAGTGTACAATCCAGTGAGAGAAACAGACATTAAATAAGTAAACACAAAAGTAAGCATATGTGGGAGAAATACTGTGAAGGAAAATGAGAGAAAAAAATATGGGGTTATAATTTAGATGTGGGAGGCTGCAATTAATAATTAACCCAATTTAGAATGGCTTAAATTATAAGGAAACTTACTGTTTCACAAGGCAAGAAGTTCCAAGGTCAGGAGGCTCTAGTTGGTGAATTCAGGAACACAGTTGTGTCTGGGAAGGCCCTGGCCTGTTCCCGTTATTCCCCCTGCCATTCCCAGTATGGCAGCTTTGTCCCCTGGGGCTGCTCCACCCATGGCCCCAGGATGACTGGAACAACTCCATTTATTATGGGCAATCCCAACAGTGCCCAAAGGTCACAGAGATTCTCTTTTCCAGAGTCGGGAAATCGTTCTTGGAAGCTTCCAGGAGACTTCTCACCTGTCATTAATCCAAACTAAGCATGTGCTCACACCTAAATGCTGGAGGTGGAGGGGAGAATCACCATTCCCAGCCTCTTAGGCTCTGCAGGACTGGTTCCTAACTCTTCCCGATTGCATTCTTTGAGAAGTGCATACCCGAATAAAAAGGAGAGGGTGGCAATGGATGCTGGGTAGGCAATCTAGAGTCTGCTACAGGGGCTCAAGAATAATGTCTCTCTGGAAAAAAAAAAAGTGGAGGGCATTTAAACTTAAGATGAGTAAGAGTGAGACAGGGAGTGAGGAGGAAGCACCTTCAGGCTGAAGGAATCTGGCCTGTGATGTTGGACTCTGTGTCATGAGTTAAAGGCTTCCATGTAATTTCTCATTTACTCCTTTGACCTGAGGAGGTAAGCACACCTGAGGAAGGAAACTCAGAGAGTTAAGTAACTTTGATCAAATTCACAGAGCTAATAAGTTGCAGAGCCAGTCTATATAATTCCAGACCCTAAAATCTTGACTTCTTCTACCTGTACAAAGACAACGAGAAATTAAAATCCACTGGCCTTTCTTTGCCATTGACTGAAGAACACAGGCCCCTCAGAGGCCCGTCTGCAATGTTAATCTAAGCACATGGGCGATGTGGGACATACTCATGACTAATCCTCCTCCTACTAGGTAAGCCTCTGCTCCACTAGGTCTCCTGGTCTCTGCTAAGCACTGTCACCAGAGCACCAGAGTTCTCACATTGTCAAAGTTCAGAGGTAGCCTATGGAAATGGGGATGATAAAAGGCCTGTCTTCCCTTGTTTTATACACAGAAAAGTCCCCAAGCAGCCCAAGTGTTTCACAGAAACCTCCCGGTTTTGCCCACTTTCTGTTTCTTGCAGGGACCTGCATCCAAGAGGCTGAGCTAGGAAGAGATCCAGTAATGTTTCCATACTTAATTCAGACTCCCAAGCCCCTGGATGACTCAATTTGAGTTCAGGATCATCCCATGCCAATCTTATTTTCTTGGGATAAATTTCCACACAGGAGGCTCTATAGTTACCTTTGCACACAGACTCCTGTCAGGGCACCCCATCAGATCAGCCTTGTGCTCATAATCTTTAATTCCAGCTTGGAGCCCTCCAAGGCCCAACTGAGGTCCCTTCTATGGATCAGCAGAAAATCTCCTGGGGACATAAGAGGGACAAAACTCCCATGCTGGTGATTCACACTCCATTTTCTCACCATGTCTTTGGTTTTCTTTCCTTCCCTCTTTTATTCTTTCATTTATCTTCAGGCTTCCTTATCCTACCACACTAACTCCATGAGCAGCCATTTCAGTTGCTAAGGCTAGAACCTCAAGTCATAGTGCCCTCCTTTCTGATTGGTTTTGCCAAACCCTAGCCAAGAGAAAATCCCATTTGCCTTTGATGCTTTTGTTGTCCAGGTTCCAGCATCACTCAATATGGTTATAAAACTGGGCCAATTGGATCCACCCAAATTTTCATGTTATCTAAGCTCCGTGCAGCCCACAATCCCTTTATTTACCTCAATACCTCTTCCATGAAGTCTTGCTGACCATGAAGGATAGTGCTTCTCTCCCATGACCCCACAGCAACATGGTGCTCCAAGTTACAAATCCTTGTTAACTTGCCAATCTCCCTTATTAGACTTCAGAGCAGGGACTTTGTTGTATCAATGCTTATATCTCCAGAACATACCCAGCTCAAGTCTCTTCATTATTTAAAAAATAATTTAAAATTTTCACTCTTTAATCTACTATCTTCTTTAAAAAAAAAAAAACTGTCTATTAAGATACTAGAGACTTGAAAGTGAACCCCATATGTGGTGCCTCTACTTCCTCTGTGGAAGCTCATCAATAATGTCATACAATCTTCCAGGCCTAGCATTGGAAGCATCAGTCTTCTTTCTACTCCTCTTTCCAAAGGGACAGTAGCCTGTCATTTACCAATGCCTTCCCAGTGATCCCGGTTGGGGATGAGAGTGTTATGGGCATTAACTCCTGGTACATCTGGGCTATTTCCAAGCTCCTCCAAGCAGCAGCCGAGCCTTCGTGTGATCCCAATCTAGAATTGAACAGTCTCTTGCCCATGCTTTCTCTGAATGTCCCCCATCATCTGTTTCCACTCCCACCCAGTCCAAATTTTCCCAGGATTCTGGCTTTAGCCCTTTCTTCTCTCTCTCTTTCTCTCTCTCTTTTTCTCTCTCTCTCTCTTTCTCTCTCTCTCCCTTTCTCTCTCTCTCTGTCTCTCATCTCATAGCTTCACTGATTATTTCTAGGTGTCCACCCCTTTTCCAGAACTTGCCAGCACTGTACTTTGTCTCAGCCCTTCTTGTGGTATTTATCACTTTCTACTTTGTATTATTGGTGCCTAACTACATTTATCTCTCCTACAGAGCTGTAAACTCTTGGAGGGCATGGTTCACATTTGATTATCTTTGCTGTATCTCTCCCAGTACCACACACAGCAGGTCCAATCCTAGAGTTGATAGGAAGCCATGATTTGTTATCCAGAAGAATTTTGCTTATGTTTCTGAAGTTCCGTAGAAAGAATTTGGAACATGTTCTTGATTTTCCTTCTGGAATAGACAATTGTTTAAAATAATGATATAAATTAGAAATTAATAGTCTGTCCAATTGACAATCAAGTAATAGTAAAATTTACTTTAAAAGTACAAAATATAAATAAATTTGGTCTTCTGGTTTTATCTATACATAATAAGTTTCAGCCCAGGGTACACTGACTTTCCTAAATAGTGATTTTTTTTTCTAGGTATAGGTAGTCATCAAATAATATAGCCAGTGTACACTAACTATGCACTAGGTTCACAGTATTTAGCATCCCACCATCCTGTGCTATTTCAGAGTCAACCTGGACTACCCATCCAACACTTAACGTCTCAACTCGTTAGTCTTCCCATATCTAATAGCTCCATCTCAGCTTCAGCCATCACTCCCATAGTCACACCTGGAAATCCCTCTAAAATCACCAATTCTGTGAGTGCATATGCACCCCAGATCTGCACAGTCCTGCCTGCCTCCAGGGCTTCAGCCCTTTGCCTTGCTTCTCAGCCAGAGTGGCCCAAGCAATGGCTGGTGTTGTCCCCATGGTCCTAAAGCCCAGTTTAATGCTGTCACTGACCTCGGCCTCCCTTGGATCCAGGGCCAGACCAGCATGACCTTCATAACACCCACTGTAGAGGGAGCATCAGCAGCTCCAGGCCCCTGGGCTGACCTGACTGAACCCACAGAAACTCTGGCTTCCCTCACTGCTGCCTGGAGGGGCCCAAAACACAACCCAGAAATATAGTGGAATTAATGACCTGTGGAGCCGACTTTGACCACTGAGAGACAGGAGCCAGGATGAAGACAACAAATAAATTGTTCACCCTTCCTGCCCACCCAGGAGCTGTTCAAAGATGCAATGGTTCTGTATTTCTGGCTACTCTGGCATGACTCAGCAACCAGCTTTGTTTTCTAGAGAAGCTGTAGACAAATTGGTAATGCACAACTTTGAATCTGCTTTTTCTCCTTCTCTCTTTTATTTCTGTGTTTCTGCTCATTCTTGCTTCCCTAGGATAATATTCTAAATAGAGTGTCACATGTGAGCTTTACCTTAGGTTCTGTTTTCTAGAGAAACCAAACTAAAATAAGGCATTATACTCTGTGACAACAACTTTCCATCCTTCAAGCTTAATTGTTCAATTACATTCTCTTCATGTGTTTCTGGCCCTATAGTGACCTCTAGTTCCTTGATCCTCTATTTACTTCCTCACTGTCTTTACTATGCTCCTTACACAGTTGGGTATGGAATGCATTATCTCATGCTACTGGTACCTTGCCCCAGCCTTACGTCTTACAATAGCCAGGAGAAGCCCCCATTAGGAAGGAATTCCACTTCTTCCTCTTGTACTTAAACAATAAAAACTAGTGAAACAAGGTAGATATAGGTCCTGTTCTCATAAACTTAAATTCTGGGTCAATAGTAGGAGATTCGACTGGTAAAGCCATTCTAGAGAACCATCTGGAATGATTTACTCAAATTAAGAATACATACAGCCCATTAGCAATTCCACTTCTGAGTATACCATATATCCTAGAGGAATTCCCATATGAGTCCATAAGGGAGCATGTACTAGGATGTTTATTGCAACTTCCTTTTTATTGTTATGATTAGAGGCTAGAGGGCACCTGGGTATGCATCTCTGGGAGGGTAAATAGGTAAGTTCCTATGGCTATATGCCATAGGATGTTTATTGCAACTTCCTTTTTATTGTTATGATTAGAGGCTAGAGGGCACCTGGGTATGCATCTCTGGGAGGGTAAATAGGTAAGTTCCTATGGCTATATGCCATAGGATGTTAAACAATACTTAGAAACAAGTTAGATGTTCCCAAAGCAAAGTGATATACCTTAAAAATAAGAGTATCTAGTAGAAAATAGAAGTACAATGAGATATATATAGATATAAAACACAATATTCTTTGCATAAATTAAAGATAATATGCACAAAATACATTATTCATTTTGCATAAACACATAAAATAAAAAGATACAAAAAACACATTAGAACGTTAGGGAGTAGAGTATTTTAATAAAAGAAATAACAGAAGAGAAAAGGAAAAACTAGAAAAGGGAATGGAAAACTACTTCTGAGAAGTGGTCTTCAGAAGACCTCTCTTAAGAGGGAGCATTTGAGTGAAGACCAAATGATGAAACAAAGCCTACCACAAGATGATCTAGGAAGGAATATGCCAGACAGAAGGAAAAGCATGTGCAATGGCCAACAGGCCTATATTAGTTGGTTCTCACACTGCTATAAATAACTTCCTTGAGACTGGGTAATTTATAAATAAGAGTTTTAATTGACTCGCAGTTCCATATGGCTAGGGAGGCCTCAGGAAACTTATAATCATTTCAGAAGGTGAAGGGGAAGCAAACTTGGACCTTTTCACATGGTGGCAGGAGACAGATTGGGAGGAGCAAAGAGGGAAAAGCCCCTTATAAAATCATAGGATCTCATGAGAACTCACTCACTGTCATGAGAATAGAATGGAGGAAACGCCCTCATGATCCAATCACCTCCAACCAGGTCTCTCCCTAGACATGTGGGGATTACCAGGATTATAATTCACGATGAGATTTGGGTGGGGACACAGCCAAACTATATCGAGGCCAAAAGAACTTGGTGAGTTTCAGGGCTGGAACCTAAGAACATGGAGGAGTGTGATACCATGTAGTTCAGAGAGGGTACAGTGAGGCCAGATTACATGAGGCCCTGTAGGCAATGGTAAGCAGTTTGGGTTTTACACCACTCTGAATTCTTCATATCAATCTCCTCTGGGCACTGAATGCTCCCTGGTAATCTTGCTGAATTTACCTGGTCAGCTATATTTCTCTCTACCACAATGAATGTGGTAAACCTTTTCCTCTTTCTTCAAACCTTCATCTAACCATTCTTACTCATGGTCATTGGTCTCACTGACTCTTCACAGCAAATAATTGTTATGGATTGAATTGTGTCCCTCCTGAAATTCATATGTCAAAATCACAACTCCCTGAACCTCAGAATGTGACCTATTTGGATACAGGATTATTACAGATTTAATTAATTAAGATGAGGACATTAGGAAGGACATTAATCTGACATGATTGGTGTCTTTATTAAAAAGGAGAAATTTGGACACGGAGACAGACAGTCATATGGGAAGGATAATGTGAAGACAACCACCTACAAGTTGAGGAGAAAGGTTTGGAACAAATTCTTTCCTCACAGTCCTTAGAAGGAACCAATGCTGTCAACACTTTGATTGTGGACATCTAGCCTCTAGAACTGTGAGACAATAAAATTTGTCATTAAAACACTTGGTCTATGAAACTTTGTTACAGCAGCCCTAGCAAACTCATACAATTACAATAATTTGTGTTGAGCCCTTACAATGAATGTGAGCACTGCACTTGACATGCATTAATGCAGTTAATCCTCAGGAAGACCCTATGAGATACTATTATTATAGCCATTTATTAAATAAGGAAACTGAGGCACAGAGAGATTAAGTACAACTCATCAATAAGAACTTCCTCAGTGTCCCTACATAAAATCTAGAAGCCTGTCTGCACAAGATATACCCTTTTCTCCCTCATTTCCCCTTAGGATGAGGCGTCCATTATTCTGTCTAACTTCAGTGCTTCTACCTGTGCTCTTGATCACCTGTCTGTCCTTAAAGAACTTTGGTTCCTTAAGTTTCTCCCACATTAAGCAGGAGCTTCTTCCATTATATCTTGTAATAACTGCTCCTTCGCAAATTTCCCAACATCCACACTCGCTGTCTTCATTTCCTCTGTCATTCCTTTGACCTATGGTATATCAGTTTCCTAATGCTGCTATAACAAATTATCACAAATTTGGTGTCTTAAAGCAACACAAATTTATTTTCTTACAGTTCATAAAGTCAGAACTCTGAAATGGGTCTCACTGAGCTAAAATCAATATGGTATTACAGACCAGGCACGGTGGCTCACACCTGTAATCCCAGCACTTTGGGTGGCTGAGGTGGGTGGATCACTTGAGGTCAGGAGTTTGAGACCAGCCTGGTCAACATGTTGAAACCCCGTCTCTATTAAAAATACAAAAATGAGCCAGGCATGGTGGTGCGCACCTGTAATCCCAGCTATTCGGAGGCTGAGATGAGAGAATCGCTTGAACCCAGGAGGCGGAGGTTACAGTGAGCCCAAACTGCACCACTACACTCCAGCCTGGGTGATAGAGTGAGACTGTCTCAAAAAAAAAAAAAAAATTGTTTCAGGGCTGCTTTCCTTATGGGGACTCTAGAGAAGAATCCATTGCCTTGCTTTTTCCAACTTCTAGATGCCATCCACATTCCTTAGGTTGTGGCCCCTCCCCTTCCTCCATCTTCAAAGCCAACAGCTTAGCATCTTCGAAGCTCTTTGACTCTGTCTCTCTTGCCTCCCTCTTTCACACCTAAGGACTGCTGTGATTACACTTGACACACCCAGATAATCCAGTATGATCTCCCCATTTCGAGATCCTTAATCACATCTGCAGAGTTCTCTGCCATGTAAGGTCATATCTTCATAGGTTCTGAGGATTAGGACCTGGGGATCTTAGGGGAGCTATTATTTTGTCTACTAGACTCAATGATTTGGCTTCCCACCATCCTACCAAAAACACTTTTCCTAAGGTGACTAATGTCCTCCATCTTTCTAGTTTCATGAGAAATATCTGTTTTACTTGGCCACTCAGCAGCATTGAGTGCAGTTACCTCACTTCTTCTCATAGGAGTAGTTGCAGTGACTGCATAATCTCCAGTTTCTCTTTCTTCACTGGCTGCTCCTTCTCAGGCTCCCTTGCAAATGACTTTGCCTCGAGCCATAAACATTAAAAATCCGTGCAGTGTTGAGCAAGGTTGTCTTTCCTCTCTGTGGTTGGCCATCCTTTTCAAAGTAGTACCCTTTTTCAGTTGCTGTAAAGAAAGAGAAGCCTAGAAACATCCTTGTTTTAATTATCATCTATATATTCATGATTCCCAAATCTGTATTTCCATTTCTGACTTCTGTGATCAAGAACAGATTATTTGGCTGCCTTTTCAATATTTCCACTCTAGAAGTAAAATGCTTACCTCCTCAACATATCGACAAGTCCAAAAGTAAAGGAACATCTTTTCCCTAAGAACTAGTTCTTCCTCTGGTGTCTTATACAAATAAGCCATCCTCCAATTAGATTTTTTATTTTTAAATTTAGAAAAGTTATCTTTGTCTCCTTCTCTTCCTCACCCTCCATAAAGAATCCATCACAAAGTCCTGGCAATTCTGCCCCAAATATATCTGTAATATTTCTAGGCATCTCTTCAACATCAACATCAGCAGCATTTCTTGCTGGGATGCCGAAAAAGTCTCTTCACCATCTTCCTGTAGCCACTCCTATGCCCACTCCAACACTGCTGTCAAAGTGATCTTTTTAGAACTCAAAGCTGCCTTTGTTACTCCCCTGCTGCAAGTCTCTTAATCTAGCAGACATATAGCCACAGTGCTTAGGACGATAGGTTATCGAGAACCTGTAGGATTGCATGGGGCTTCCATGCTACAAAAAAAGAACATTACAAAATTGAAATTATAAAATGCTTAATTATCTACAAAATAGTATTATGCCAACTAGCAATTCCGGTGTGTGTGTGATTCTGTGTGTGTGTGTGTGTGTGTGTACACACTATTTCTCCAATGCCAGAACCTGGTGGTGACTTTGGTGGTATCACCACTTTTATCAAGCAGTTTTATAATTATATGTTCATGTGCCATTTTAGAATTAAGCTGTAATCTCCAGTGCAGCCAAGACAATGTCTTCTTCATGGTAATCACTTAGTGAAGATCAATGAATAAAAGAATGATGTTAAAAGCCTACTCAAGTATAACTTCCAGCCAGAATGCAATATAGCTCTGGAATGCTGGGAAATAATTCCATCTGACAGCACCACCTCACATCAAGTAACCAGAGATGGGTTAGCCATTTTGGCATGCAGATGCTGTGTGTCCCAACAAATGGATATAGCACATAGCAAGAGGTCTATAAATGGCAGCCCTATCTATAATTGTTTTTAAAAAAATCCATGCCTAGCTAGCAACAACTAGGGTAGCATAAGCTGCTTTTTTACTAGTGGCTAATTTTTGCTCCTTGGTTTGTGTTATTTGTTGTTCACATTGTTGTTATATACCAATTTATATTAGCAACAGTGACACCTTTACCTTCAAAGCAATGGAAGATAAATGAAAATAACTTAGGTGTTACTTTTTTCACTAGGCTTTTTTTAGATTCAAGTATTATACCATGAAGATATGGGCTATTATCTGCCCATCATGGCATTTAAATAGCAGAAACCTGGCTTGAACTATGTTTTATTTATCTTTTCACATAACCATTCAAGAGGAGCTAAATCTATTAGGACCTCACTGGAGATACAGTCGAATTTCCCAAACCCAGATTGTCTATAACTGATCCTTCCTCACAGAAAGTCCTCCAGACACCAAAGGTTTCATTTAATCAGTTAGCAATAATATTTCCCTGAAATAAAGGTAATTGAGAATACTGTTTAGTTTCAGTTCTTCATTGGGTCAAATTGTTTTTCGGATTTTGTTTGGTTTGCGTAAACAGTGTACCACTAAGTGAGCTCATTTGACACCATAACACCAAGCAGAACCAACTGCTCAAAGACAGCGAATAATAAATCATCTCTGGACCTGTATTTAGCCAGCATGCTGCATGAGGAAGCCTCTGACACGACTACATAATCTTCTATCTTAGCACATTGTCACATGCCACTATTTATTTCCATTTTGTGATCTTGCCAATGGGAATAACTACAGATTAGCCTGAGCTACATGAGGCTCTCCTCTATTTTATTTGTTACTGACATCTCAATTTACACATCTCACTTCCTTTAAGAGGCCCTAATTGGGAATAAACTACCAATTTAGTTGTCCAGTGTGGTTATTTAAAACAGGCTCCCATGTTAATGAAGTATAATAAAAATATCATGCATAGTTTGTCCGGGTCTTTAATTATTTCATTTTATAAAAGGCAAAGTTCAATGACTATTTATCAGAGGCCAGTCACAGGCTACACACCAGCTCCTAGGCTGGGTATTTACGTATATTCTCAGTGTACCTAACACATCATGGGTGGTCAATAAACATTTCTTAAATGGATGTAGGCATGTGCTAGGCTACTTAGCTATAAGACCAGAGGTAAACATCTTAATTTTTTTGGCAATTTAACAAAAGTGAAAATATTTGTAGATCAATTTTTTAAATTATGGATTCCTATTAAAAATTCTGTTGTTGTGATTAAGAGTTATTTTATTTTTCCCCATTACTGAATGGCTACTTTATTGAGAGAACATTTCAGAAACTACATAATTAGCACACCTTCCAATATAATGATTATAATGATTATAATCACTTGCCCTTGAACGATTTTGTGAAGGAGCTGAGGCCTCATGGTGTTGGGAGAAAAACACTTTGAGGGATTTGCATTAGAAAGAACGGACCCTAGAGTTTGGCCTCAGGCCATAGATTAAATATTCAATTCTAGGCTGGGCGTGGTGGCTCACACCTATAATCCCAGCACTTCGGGAAGCTTAGATGGGAGGATTGCTTGAGCCCAGGAGTTTGAGACCAGCCTAAGCAACATAGCGAGAACCTGTCTCTACAAAAAAATTTAAAATTAGCCAGGCATGGTGGCACGCAGCTGTAGTCCTGGCTACTCAGGAGGCTGAGGTGGGAGGATCACTTGAGCCCAGAAGGTCGAGACTGCAGTGAGCCGTGATTGTGCCACTGCACTCCAGCCGGGGTGACAGAGTGACAGGTCTCCCGTCTCGAAAATAAATAAGTAAGTATACATTCAATTCTATTTGCAGATTCCTGGGAAAACACTACGGTTACTCTTATAGAGGGAGTAGGTTAAGAGCAATAAAGCAGAGAAAAAGGTGGACATCCTAAACTATGTAAATGATTCATCTTCTGCCTTTGTGCCCAACCTACACACCAGCAAGAACGAAACATTCTCTAGGCGATACTTTCTGAAAGGACAGTGTGTTTTGAAACTTCTCATGAGTCCATATTTATCTAATTTAGTGGTTCTCACATTTTTGGTCTCAGAAGAGTTTTATAGTCATAAAATTATTGAGGACCTCAACATACTTTTGTTTATGTGGGTTATATCTATCAATATTTATCATTTTCTAAATTGAAACTGAGAAATTTTTATAAACATTTATTCATTCTAAAATAACTATTATAAAACCATTACATATTAGCACAAATGACATGATTTTATAAAAATAACTTTTTCCCAAAAAAAAAAGTGAAGAGAAACATTGTTTTATATTTTTTCCAAATTTCTTTAATATTTGGGTTAATAGATGATAGCTGGATTTGCATACTGATGTCTGCATTCAATCTGTTGTTACATCCATAGTGTCTGGGAAACTCTACTTAATGAAAACCAAAAAGGCGAATGAGGTCTTGGTACTGTCATAATAATTATTCTGAAGCGAGACTCTCTGAAAAGGTTTTAGGGACTCCTATGTGTCCCTGGACCACATTTTGTGAACCACGTCTCTAATTTATGAGTCACATAGTACGTCCTATGTCATGGATGGTCCCGAAGGCAATTACTATGCTGGCTGTCTCTGAGATTCAACCAATGGCCCAATTGGCTTCCCCGAGATCAGACTTCCAATAATTAAAAAAATAAAAAAAGTGGAGTCATTACTCAGCTGTCAGATGCTTTGTCAATTTGTAAGTGTAAGTGAGCAAGTGAATGAATGAATAAATAAATGATACAATGAAATTCTTCCTAGATTTTAATATTTTCATTTCTTTGATCTTATAATTAGATTAGCTCCATTCAGTCTTCAGTTAAAAGAGATGAGACAAACTTTTGGGCCCTTGTATGAGTTTTTATCTCTTGCTCCCAACCCTTGTAAAAGACAAAAGGAAAACTGCCACATGCAGGGCTTCTAGCCTGCTGTAATCCTTCATTTAAGTATTCATTCACTAACCAAATTATTCATTCAACCAGCAGACTTTTATTCAACACTGTGGAGTAGAAATTGAAAAAGGCAAGGTCTCCCAGCATTTCACAATGTAATACAAAATGCTATTTTAATTCTATAATCCATGCATGCATTTATTCAGCATACACTAATCCTTTCAACACATATTTATTAGGCACCTACTATGTGCCATTACTAAAGCAAATGCAAAAAAAGAAACATTTCATGCGTAACTTAACCTAGTAGAGACTTGAAAGAGCATAGCATATCCAGGAAACAAATGAAATAAAGTAAACTTGATAAAGTGTATATAGTAAAATACCACAAAATCCTTATTGAGGTAAAATCAGAATTTCATTTCTTTTGTTTAAATGTCACGCTCTGAAACACCTACAGAGAAAAAAGTAACCAAGATAGAAAGCCTTTAATAGGGTATATCACAATGCTGGGGGGAATAGACAAAGAGGACTGAGTTTCTGCATTTAAAACTAGGTGATATGGTTTGGCTCTGTGTCCCCACCCACATCTCATCTCGAATTGTAATCCCCATGAGTTGAGGGAGGGACCTGGTAGGAGGTGACTGGATCGTGGGGGCCGTTCCCCCATGCTGTTCTCCTGATAATGAGGGAGTTCTCATGAGATCTGATGGTTTTAAAAGTGGCAGTTTCCCCTGTACTCTCTCTCTCTCCCGCTGCCTTGTGGAGAAGGTGCTGGCTTCTCCTTCACCTCTGGCCATGATTGTAAGTCTCCTGGGGCCTACCCAGTCATGAGGGACTATGAATCAATTAAACCTCTTTCCTTTATAAATTACCCAGTCTCAGGTAGTATCTTTATAGCAGTGTGAAAATGGACTAATAAAGAGAATTTGTACTGGGGGTGGGGCACTGCTATAATGATAACCTGAAAATGTGGATATGACTTTAGAACTGGGTAACTGGCAGAGGTTGGAACAGTTTGGAGAGCTTAGAAGAAGAGAGGAAGATGTGGGAAAGTTTGGAACCTCCTAGAGACTTGTTGAATCGTTGTAACCAAAATTCTGATAGTGATATGGACAATGAAGTCCAGGCTGAGGTGGTCGCAGATGGAGATGAGGAACTTATTGGGAACTAGAGTAAAAGTCACTCATGCTATGCTTTAGCAAAGAGACTAATGCTTTAGCAAAGTGGCATTTTGTCCCTGCCCTAGAGATCTGTGGAACTTTGAACTTGAGAGAGATGATTTAGGGTATTGGGTGGAAGAAATTTCTAAGCAGCAAAGCATTCAAGATGTGACGTGGCTTATTCTGAAAGTGTTCAGTTATATGCGTTCACAAAGAGATGGTTTGAAATTGGAAGCTATGTTTAAAAGGGAAGCAGAGCATGAAGGTTTGGAAATTTTGCAGCCTGAACATATGGTAGAAAAGAAAAACCCATTTTCTGAGGAGGAATTCAAGCTGGCTGCAGAAATTTGCATAAGTAATGAGGAGCTGAATGTTAATAGCCAAGACAATTGGGAAAATGTCTCCCATGCATGTCAGAGACCTTCACGGTAGCCCCTCCCATCACAGGCCCAGAGGCCTAGGAGAGAAAAACGACTTCATGAGCGGGGCCCAGGGCTGCACTGCTCTGTGCAGCTTCAGGACTTGGTGCTTTGTGTCCCCACCACGCCAGCTCCAGCAATGGCTAAAAGGGGCTGAGGTACAGGTTGGGCCATTGCTTCAGAGAGTGCAAGCCCCAAGCCTTGGCAGCATCCACATGGTGTTGGCCCTAAGGGTGCACAGAAGAGAAGATATGAGATTTAGGAACCTCCGCCTAGATTTCAGAGCATGTATGGAAATGCCTGGATGTCCAGGCAGAAGTCTGCTGCAGGGTCAGAGCCCTCATAGAGAACCTCTGCTAGGGTGCTGTGGAAGGGAAATGTGGGGTTGGAACCCCACACGAAGTCCCCATGGGGGCACTGCCTAGTGGAGCTGTAAGAAGAGGGCCACCATCCTCCAGGCCTCAGAAAGGTAGATCCACTGACAGCTTGTGCCATGCCCCTGTAGAAGCTGCAGGCACCCAATGCCAGCTTGTAAAAGAAGTCACAGGAGCTGTACCCCACAGAGCCACAAGGGTGGATCTGCCCAAGGTCATGGGAGCCCACCCGTTGCATCAGCATACCCTAGATGTGAGATATGGAGTCAAAGGAGATTTTGGAGCATTAAGGTTTAATGACTGCCCGGTTGGGTTTAAGACTTGGATAGGGCCACTTTGTTTTTGCCAATTTCTCCCATTTGGAAGAGGAACATTTACCCAATGCCTGTTCCCCATTGTATCTTGGAAGTAAGTACGTTGCTTTTGATTTAACAGGCTCATAGGTGGAAGGGACTTACTTTCTTCAGATGAGACTTTGGACTTGGACTCATGGGTTAATGCTGAAATGAGTTAAGACTTTGGGGGATGGTTGGGAAGGCATGATTGGTTTTGATATGTATAAAGGACATGAGATTTAGGAGGGGCCTGGGGCAGAATGATATGGTTTGGCTCTGTGTACCCACCCAAATCTCATCTGGAATTGTAATCCCCAGGTGTTGAGGGAGGGACCTGGTGGGAAGTGACTGGATCATGGGGGTGTTCTCCTGATAGTGAGGGAATTCTTATGAGATCTGATGTTTTTAAAAGTGGCAATTTCCCCTGTGTTCGTTCTCTCTCCTGCCACCTTGTAAAGAAGGTGCTGGCTTCTTCATCTTCCTCCATGATTGTAAATTCCTGAGTGCCCCGTACCCCCAGCCATGTGAACTGTGAGTCAATTAAACCTCTTTCCTTTATAAATTACCCAGTCTCAGGTAGTATCGTTATAGCGTTGTGAATACGGACTATTACTCTAGGTAACACTGTACTGCTTTTATCCAAAAGTGAGTCTGCATGGAAATGGGCTTTCCAGTGAGTTAGAGGCACAGATATGATTTGGAGACACCTGAGCACTCACTGTAGTTTCTCTCCATGCTTGGTTTTGCCAACATTGAATTTGAATCAAGAATCAGAAAAGTGCATTTGTATACATTCTGTTGAACAGAATCCCACAGATTATACATTCTTCAGGAATGGTGATATAAGCTCCACATGGAAGTACAATGATGGCACTTTTTCTAAATTTGAAGCATCATTGCCATGTAGTGACAGTGCTGCAAGCAACTGCCCCCACTAGAAAGGTTGGAGGCTGAGAGAAGATAGGCTGTGTGGTTATTTTGCATCCCGTGGAATATGGTATCTGTATTAGTTTCCTAGGGCTGCTATAACAAAGTACTTTTGCTTTAAAAGACAGAAATATACTGTCTCACAGTTCTGGAAGCTAGAAGTCTGAAATCAAGATGTCAGCAGTCCCCTGCTCCGTGTAAAACCTGTAGGGAAGAATCCTTTTGCCTATTCCTAGCTTCTGGTGGTGGCTGTCAATCCTTGGCATTCCTTTGCTTGTAGCTATAGCACCTCAATCTCTGCCATTGTCATTACATGGCATTCTATATGAGACAATGTTCAAATTTCCACGTTTCATAAGGTCACCAGCCATGTTAGATTAGGGCCCACCCTAACGGACTCAACTTGATTACATCTGCAAAGATCCATTTCCAAATAAGGTCACATTCACAAGCACTGACAATCAGGACTCCAACACACCTTTTAGGGGAAAACAAATCAATCCTTAGCAATCCTTAATTAATTGTGGAACTGAATCTAACAGTGTGTGGTGGTGGTGGTGGTGGTGGTGGGAGTGAGACAGATGGCTCTTTTCACCTGTCCAAAACCTACCTGAAATGATACAGAGTCACAAAACTAACCTATCAGAGTGCCTTTGAATATTTAAAGTCAATTGAGTTATCATTAATGAAGTGAGGAGTAATTTGCTCTGTCAAAAAAATAGGTTTCGTACACATGATGAAAAACCAAGGTTTTTGTTCCTGACCATTTAGGCATTGAGGAGCTATTGATGTTTCTAAGTACCAAAACGATGTGATCAAGCATGTTATAGAAAAATTGTTCCAGCAATAGTGTGAATAACACATAGTTCAGGGAAAAGAGTAGAGGCAGAAATAGCAATTAGGAAATCTCTACAAGGTCTTGGAGAGATAAATTAGTGGCGGAGGGCTGAGATATGTGTGTATATAGCAGTGGGTGGGTATGCTGGTTGAAACGGTGACCATAAAGAGAAGGGGAGGGGAAAGGTTAGAGAATATTCTGAGTGACCTATCAGATGTGACTTTTAAGAAAGTCAGAAGAATTGATATTGACTCTGAATTGATGGGCTTAGGTAAGTGGATGGGACGTGTCACCATTAACTGGGACAGAAAGCACAGGAGAAAATGCAGATTTTCTATGGGATAGAGAGAATAATAATATACAAGATGTTAAACAGGGATCACAAAGGCATGAGTTTTATGAAAAACTACCTTTGCCTGGGGAAGTCATACAAGGACATTGCACTGCAGTGTTCTCTAATAAAAAGGCCTGCAGTCACTCCACACTCAAAATGTTCCAAAGGGCTCATTTTCCCTTTCTGCTGTCAACTTTCTCCACTCCCCTACAACCAGTCCTGTATTTTCTACCCTGATGGGTAGCACCACCATTTACTTATCTCTAAAGCTATAAAACTGGAAACTTCTTCAGTGCTTCCCTATTATTGAACCCTCATATCTAGTCATCAAGTCTTGTCTATTTCATCTTATGAATCTCTTAAATCTACCCCATCTCTCCATTTCCATTGCCCCTGCTTTACTTAAGGTCATAGCCTTCTCTACCCTGCTCTATTGCCATAGCACCTTAACAAGTCAATCTGCCACTGCACTTGCCCTCATTTCAACATTACAGCCAAAGTGCTCTTTGCAGAAGGCAAGTCTGATCATATTGCTTCCACGCCAAAACCTTTCACTGTCCCCTGCCTGACTGCCTGTCAAAAAAAGTTCAAACTGCATAACCTGGCCTGCAAACCCTATATGTTTTTGCATCTGCTTGTTTCTAAGCTTAGTCTGCTTCTATAGTGCTACTTTCCCAGTACACTCCAGTACATTTAAGGATTGTGGTCCTTGCTTCTTCTTTGCATGGTGTTTCCTCCACCTGAATTGTCCTTTCGTACCTGCTCCACTGGAATGACCTCTGCTTTAATGCTCTCCCTGATGCTGCTGTGCACAACTAACCCTCTAATTTTCTCTTTTAATTCTGTATTGACATACTTCCCCTGTTACACTTATAACACTGTGTGTCGTTTTTAATACAGCTGACTCCCTAAGTCATCGGCAAGCTCCTTGAGGGCAGGGATTGTCTAAATTCCATTCTGCAGCAAACTGAGCAGCTATTTTGTTTCATGCACTATGTTTTTGCTCAAGATATGAAGATGAATGTGTTACTTGTCTCAAGTTTATATAACCTGTTGACTAAAAAATTAGATAATTCAAATATCAGAAACAAATTTAGCTTAATAGGAAAGTCAAGGAAAATGAAAATATTAAAAGAAAAAACTACATTGGTACAGTCAAAACTGAATAATAGGTAAGGTCAGAATATTAAAAGCCACTGTAAGACATACAAACCAGAGTAGCTACAGTATATTCTTTAAAGCAAGCCATACGATCAAAACAGAACAAAGTGAGAGTTCATTTCCAAATGTGAAATGACATTTTTTAGCTTTTTCAAGGAAGAAATCAGTAGACCAATACATTGTCTTTGACGTTTTCTTTGTACCAATTAAAGTAACTCTCGACTCTGCTTTTCTCCATTCAAAATGTAGACATGGTATAAAAATAAATATATTTTCTAAAAACCAGAGTAGGTAAGCTCTTCATTTCTGCTGAGAACTGACCTCCAGAAACATCTGACCTGGCTTCTGAGGGAAACTTTCCTCCATGGCCACCAACACCTGTGTTAGAAACCACACCATTTTCCCGCCTGAGTTATTGCAGTTATGTCCTCCCTGAACTTCCCTAATCTCTCTTGCTCTTGAACATCCTATCATATCTCCTTCTTTGTTTTTAAGGTCCAGTCCCCTATTTAATTTGCAGATCCCTGCATAGTCTGCCCATGCCTATGTCTGGGATGCAGCCTACTTTTGAAATGGGAAAAGTTCCCTTGCCCCCTCACAGCGCATGTGATGGGGGTGTGTGTCTTGCTTCTTCAGTTCCCCGCTGCTCAAATGTCTAGGGGAGCACACAGACAGGCAGGCTGTGGGGCTCGGACCCCACGGCAGTGTCTAGGGGTGAATCTTTACAGCTCCTGAAGAACCCATGGGCATGTGTTACAGTGTAATCTTTTGGTTTAGCCGTCTGTGGAAGGCTTGTGTTCGCTCAATTAGATCCCCTTTCTTATCACAAGGACAGAGGGCTTTCTGTATCCCAGGCTTTCTTGCCTTAGTGTACCAGAAGAACTGGATCACACATGGGCATGGAGATTGTGTGCAAGGTTTTATTGAGTAGAAGTAGCTCTCAGCAGATGGGGGAGCCAGAAGGGAGATGGCTTTCCCCTGGAGTCAGATGGCTCAATGGCCCGGCTCTTCTCAGACTGCCCTGGCCAAAGTCCGCCTTGTTCTGCGGGTCAATGGCCTGCCAGCGTGCTGGCATCTGTTGGTGTGCTCCCCTCAACACCCGCTAGTGTTTGAGCGACGTTGTGTGTGAAACACGTTGGTGTTTCACCGACGTCCTCCCCTCAACACCCGCTAGATGTCCAGCCGCTTGTCTTCTTCCGCGGATGTATTCCTCTCGCTGTCCAGCAGCTTCAGTCTCTGCCTTGCTAGGGTCTCGGGTTTTTATAGGCCCAGAATTGGGGGCTTGGCGGGCCAGGGTGGTCTTGGAAAATGCAACATTTGCGAGCGAAGGCAGAAGTGCCTGTCCTCACCTAGGTCGGTGTGGGTAGAGCCCTAGCCTGGGACCACGCGCCTTTCTCTAGCCAGCACTTCCCTGTCCACACTCCCATATCATTTAAAGGGACCACACTCTTCCCTTCCCAGCACTCCTATAATGCTTTCAGCTTCAAACACTTCAAACACTTTCCCTTTTCAGGGACTTTGTGAAACGCCAGATTTAAACAAACAGACTCAGCAGATGCTGAGGATTTCATAACAAAACTGTCTTGAGATAATTTGATATGTGACATTTTAAAAGTGAAAGCGTGAACATGGTTGTGATGGGAAAAAATCTGAATCTTGTGGAACCTGCTTACACCTACTTAGTGGTTTAGCACAGTTTTAATTTTGAATTACCTAAGGATGTGTATGTTTCTGGGGAAAAGGAAGAGCAGTATCTTTTCAGAACTTAAGGCTTCTTTCCGTCTTAATTCAGTCCTGCTGTTACAATGTGAATGAAGGCTTTTCTCTTATTCCTCCACTAACGGTTCTCGCCTTAAATAAAATTTATTTAGAGAGGCCTTCCCTTACCTTTCTACTCCACATCATGCCTTCTCATTATAAGCCCGCACTTGTCTGTCTATTCCTCCATCCCATGGCCCTAGGCTAGGCTACCGTCCTTCTTCACTTCAACTACTGCAGCAACTTTAAAAGTGGTCTCACTACTGCTGTTCCTAATTTTCTCAGTCTAGTAAGTACACAGCAGCAGATTGTTCTTACAATGGGTCATGTCACTTTCTGCTTAAAATCCTTCAGTTGGCCGTGCGCAGTGGCTCACGCCTGTAATCTCAGCACTTTGGGAGGCCGAGGCGGACAGATCACGAGGTCAGGAGATCGAGACCATCCGGGCCAACATGGTGAAAGCCCGTCTCTACTAAAAATACAAAAATTAGCTGGGCGTGGTGGCACGTGCCTGTAGTCCCAGCTACTTGGGAGTCTGAGGCAGGAGAATCGCTTGAACCCGGGAGGCGCAGGTTGCAGTGAGCCGAGATTGCCACTGTACTCCAGCCTGGCCACAGAGAAAGACTCCGTCACAAAAAGAAAAAAAAAAAAAAATTCTTTCAGTTCCTTCTCACTTCGTTTGAATAAAATCCAAACGTGATCTGGCTCCTGCCCCACCTGCCTCACTACCCTCCAACCGTGGTGATCACTGGTCTTCAGTTAAGATTCCTGCTGCATCATATCAAAATCATTCACCTCTCTGGCCTTTGCATTTTCTGTTTCTTCTGCCTGGGAATTGCCTACCCTTCATCTGTAGATTTCAGCTTAGATATCACCTTCTCTGCCAGTTCTCATCAGATCACAGCCTCTAAAGACAGCCCCACTTTGTCCTTTTCTTGTTTGTTTTCTCATAGCACTTACCACAAGTTATAACAATGATAAGTGTTTGTTTATTTTTAATTAGTTAACTAATTGGTTTTTCATCTGTCTCTCATTCTAAAATAAAGGGATGGGTCTGACTCATTCACCTTGGCATTCCCAGTGCCTAGCACATTACCTCATAATAAGCTCTTCAATATATGCTTATTGAATGAATGAGATTTTATTGCATACTTTATGTAATAGTCAGAACTTTTTACAATTTTAATTATATTTTTATGTGTGCTCTTATTGACTTAATATTTTCTTTGCTAAAGTTCTATGAGAGTAGGGATCAGGTCCATTTTATTCACTGCTATGTTACTAGGACCTTGCAAGTAATAAGTCCCTCACCATAATATTTATTCAATAAGTGAATTAAATAGTTATCAATCAAAGGGAGATATTTTAAAAGGTAATATTGGTGATTCTAGACAGTCTTTTGTGTTCAAGCAAAGTAGCTGAACTCTACTTTTAATGATCTGAACTTGGGAAAGGCAGTTTCAACAAGTAATAATTTACTATTTTTAAAATAATAAATTTACTATGCCTTTAATTGTTTAATTTATAAATAAATTAATGGACAGAATAAATAATATAAATAATTTATGGACAGAATTAAACAATTAAAGGCATAGTAAATTATAATAATAATTATAGTAAATAATTACTTACCACTAAGTAAACAATTATTATAATTTACTATGCCCTTAGTTCTGTCCATAAAACTTGTATCTAATAAGCCTGTCAAGTAGAGATGTTGCCTTTTCTTAATATAGTGATTCAGTCCTTTTATGTTAGTATATGCTTGAAATACTAGTTGTTTATGGAAATGGAATACACTTAAAATCACCTATGATGTTCAACAACCTAGTCTGTGTTACTTAGATATTGGCTTCAGTATAATTTTTTTTTTGATAGAAGGGGGGTCTCACTATGTGGTCTGAGCTGGCCTGGAACTCTTGGACTTGAGGGATCCTCCTCCCTCCTCAGCCTCCAGAGTAGCTGGAACTACAGGAATGCATCCCCATGCCCAGCTTAGCCTCAGGATAATTTTGACAGAAAGTTCCCTTTAAGAGATTTCCAGAATTGATATTGGAGCATAATGTAGTCCCATATTTCTGATCTCTGGAAAAGGTTCAGTGCTATAATGTTAAATGGGCATTATGGTAACTGGCAAAAATCTCTACAACACCTTGTGTCTTCCAACAAGAGGTGGAGTCTATTTTCCCAGCCATTGCTGTACATACCCTGGGACTTGCTTTGATCAATGAATTACCGTAAGAGTGATGTTGTGCCAGTTATAAGACTTAAGAGGCCTTACACCTTTTGCTCTTGCTTTCTTACATACTTGGAAATGCCAAACCAAATCCAGCAGCACATAAAAAAGCTTATCCACCACAATCAAGTTGGCTTCATCCCTGGGATGCAAGGCTGGTTCAACATATGCAAATCAATAAAGATAATCCATCACATAAACAGAACCAACGACAAAAAACACATGATTATCTCAATAGATGCAGAAAACGCCTTCGACAATATTCAACAGCATTTCATGCTAAAAACTCTCAATAAACTAGGTATCCATGGAGTGTATCTCAAAATAAGAGTTATTTATGACAAACCCACAGCGAATATCATACTGAATGGGCAAAATCTGAAAGCATTCCCTTTGAAAACAGGCACAAGACAAGGATGCCCTCTCTCACCACTCCTATTCAACATAGCACTGGAAGTTCTGGCCAGGGCAATCAGGCAGGAGAAAGCAATAAAGGGTACTCAAATAGGAAGAGAGGAAGTCAAATTCTCTCTGCAGATGACATGACTGTATATTTAGAAAACCCCGTCATCTCAGTCCAAAATCTCCTTAAGCTGATAAGCAACTTCAGCAAAGTCTCAGGATACAAAATCAATGTGCAAAAATCACAAGCATTCCTATACACGAATAACAGACAAACAGAGAGCCAAATCATGAGTGAACTCCCATTCACAATTGCTACTAAGAGAATAAAATACCTAGGAATACAACTTACAAGGGATGTGAAGGATCTCTTCAATGAGAACTACAAACCACTGTTCAAGGAAATAAGAGAGGACACAAACAAATGGAAAAATATTCCATGCTCATGGATAGGAAGGATCAATATCATGAAAATGGCCTTACTGCCCAAAGTAATTTATAGATTCAATGCTATCCCCATCAAAATACCATTGACTTTCTTTACAGAATTGGAAAAAAGTACTTTAAACTTCATATGGAACCAAAAAAGAGCCCGCATAGCCAACAGAATCCTGGACAAGAAGAACAAAGCTGGAGGCATCACGCTACCTGACTTCAAACTTTACTACAAGGCTACAGTAACCAAAACAGCATGGTACTGGTACCAAACAGATATATAGACCAATGGAACAGAACAGAGCCCTCAGAAACAACACCACACATCTACCACCATCTGATCTTTGACAAACTTGACACACACAATGGGGAAAAGATTCCCTATTTAATAAATGGTGTTGGGAAAACTGGCTAGCCATATGCAGAAAACTGAAACTGGACCCCTTCCATACACCTTATACAAAAATCAACTCAAGATGGATCAAAGACTTAAATGTAAGACCTAGGACCATAAAAATCCTAGAAGAAAACCTAGGCAATACCATTCAGGACATAGGCATGGGCAAAGACTTCATGTCTAAAACACCAAAAGCAATGGCAACAAAAGCCAAAATTGACAAATGGGATCTAATTAAACTAAAGAGCTTCTGCACAGCAAAAGAAACTATCATCAGAGTGAACAGGCAACCTACAGAAGGGGAGAAAATTTTTGCAATCCATCCATCAGACAAAGGGCTAATATCCAGAATCTACAAAGAACTTAAACAAATTTACAAGAAAAAAGCAAACAACCCCATCAAAAAGTGGGCAAAGAAGATGAACAGACACTTCTCAAAAGAAGACATTTATACACCCAACAGACATACGAAAAAATGCTCATCATCACTGGACATTACAGAAATGCAAATCAAAACCACAATGAGATACCATCTCATGCCAGTTAGAATGGCGATCATTAAAAAGTCAGGAAACAACAGATGCTGGGGAGGTTGTGGAAAAATATGAATGCTTTTACACTGTTGGTGGGAGTGTAAATTGGTTCAACCATTGTGGAAGACAGTATGGCAATCCCTCAAGGATCTGGAATCAGAAATACCATTTGACCCAGCCATCCCATTCCTGGGCCTATACCCAAAGGATTATAAATCATTCTACTATAAAGACACAGGCACACGTATGTTTATTGCAGCACTATTCGCAATAGCAAAAACTTGGAACCAACACAAATGTACATCAATGATAGACTGGATTAAGAAAATGTGGCACATATATACCACGGACATAAAAAAGGATGAGTTCATGTCCTTTGCAGGGACATGGATGAAGCTGGAAACCATCATTCTCAGCAAACTATCACAAGAATAGAAAACCAAACACCACATGTTCTCACTCATAAGTGGGAGCTGAACAATGAGAACACATGGACACAGGGAGGGGAACATCATACACTGGGGCCTATGAAGGATGGGGAGCTAGGGAAGGGATAACATTAGGAGAAACACCTAATGTAGGTGATGGGTTGATGGGTGCAGCAAACCACCATGGCACATGTATACCTATGTAACAAACCTGCACATTCTCCACATGTAACCCAGAACTTAAAAGTATAATAAAAAAAAAAGAAATTTGAAAATGCTATATGAATGAGCTTGGCTAGCCTGCTGAAGGATTAGAGAGACCACATGGAGAGAGGCCCCAATTCTTTCAGATATCCCAGCTGATGCCATCACAACCAGCCAGGCTGGCCAACCCACCAGCACCTGCAGATGCATGAAAGAGCCCTGCTGTATTTGTTTGAGAGGGCTGCTGTAACAAAGCCTGTAACACCACACACAGGGGAGCTCAACCAACGTAAACTTACTTTCTCACGGTTCTGGAAGTTAGAAGTCTGAAATCAAGATTAGGCAGTATTGTGTTTTGTGTGTCTTTTTGGTTTTTTTGTTTGTTTTTGAGGGCTATGAAAGAAGAATCTGTTCCAGTTCTCTCTCCTGGGCTTGTAGACACCTGTCTTCAGGTTCAAATGGCATTTTCCCCATTTGTTCACATTATCTTCCTCTGTACAAGTCTGTGCTCAAGTTTCCTCTTTTTAGAAGAACATCAGTCATATTGGATTAGTGTTCACCGTAATGACTTTATTTTCACTTAATTTCTTCTGTAGAGATCCTATCTCAAATACTGTATCAATCTGAGGTACTGGGGATTAAGACTCCAGCATATACATATTTTTGAAAAGGAAGAGATGTAATTCAGCCCGTAACACTAGCAAAGACCAGCAAGATGAGAACTGCCCAGCTGAGCCTAGCCCAGAATAGCGGCCCATGAAGAAAGCCCGGTAAATGACTGTTATTTTAAGTTGCTAAGTTTTAAGGTAGTTTGTTACACAGCAAAAGTTAACTGATTACAGCCATATTTATTGAATTTTGGTATATTTATTATTTGGTTTTAAAACTGTAAGACTTTCTGGATATTACTAAGTGAGTTGCCAGAACTGTGCTGGTTACATGGGAAATGCTGAGATCAACATTCCCTGACAATATAGTCTCTCTAGCACTCCAAGGATGAGCTAGCTATAATTTCACATAAATATTTCATTTTTTCTTTCAGGTTGTCCCTTGGGAAGTTCAATAGCACGGATCACACTATCACCTTAAACTTAAAGTTAATATATTTCACTCAATACCTCTGCCAAAAATATGTTCATCAAAGTGTGTTCTTGTCCAAGTTTAACATGACCTATTTTCTAAAAAAAAATCAAATCAAGTGCACCTCACAGCACCCTCACTCAGATAGAAACCACGGTTTATTTATTTTTATGTATAATGCTGCATCTCTAAATACCAATATTTTCACCAAAATAAACAGTCCTGTGAAGTTAAATTTCATGCATGTCAGAAGTATTTCAACTGAGTAAATATTGAGAGGAGCAATTCTACTTTTTGACAGAAAGTGTTCAAGTGTTTGATCATCAAATTTAACTTAGTATTCCAAAGAGTATCCAAATATTTTTGGCAGTCTCAAAGCTCTTATGAATCTCCCAGCCAACCATTGCTTTGATGGGCAATTTCTTCACCTGGCAGGAAGTTTTTCTAGTTAATTAACCTTTACTTCAAGTCCTATATTTTCCCTTTTCAATTTTTCCTGTATACTTAAATACAGTTAGGCTTGTGACCAACAGATGCATTGCAAAGTCCTACCTGGTTAAGTGGACTTATGGTTCCCTTATCGGGAAACTGATAATTCACAATTCCAATCCATTCACAATGGATTAGTCTCATTCAAAATCCTATCCTGCATATTACACATCTTATTACCTATGTTAGTCCATTATGTATTGCTCTAAAGGAAAACCTGAGACTGGGTAATTTATAAAGAAAAGAGGTGTATTTGGCTCATTGTTCTTCAGATAATACAGAAAGCATGGCACCAGCATTTGCTTCTGGTGAGACCTCAGGAAGCTTTCAATCATGATGGAAGGCAAAGAGGGAGCAGACATGTCACATGGCAAGAGAGGGAGCAAGAGAGAGGGGAGGAAGTGTAACACTCTTTTAAACAACCAGCTATTGTGTGAACTAATAGAGCAAGAACTCATAACCACAAGGATAGCACCAACTCATTTATGAGGGATCCGTCCCCTATGACCCAAACGCCTCCCACTAGGCCCACCTTCAACACTGGGGATCACATTGTAACATGAAATTTGGAGGGGACAAATTTTCAAACTATGGCATTACCCAACTTCATGAATAATTTAGTAACTATTTAAAATGCTGTGAATTAAGATGTTTTCTGCTTTTAAAGGATAACTACTCATACCTTAGAGCAATATTTAGACGTAAGTCAATGGTTTATGTAGTTATATTTTTCTTTTAAAGACATTTTTGTAAAAATTTAGTTTATTGGGAATAATTGACCAAAAATCATGGACAATTCTACTCTCAAAAATGTTACTGTACCCATACCATCCACTACCACCACCACCACCACAGTTTCTCACTGTACTAAGGGCCTATTACTGTCTTGCTTCCAAGTGTCAACATTTTTCTGTTGTGGTTGTCTGGAGATTGGACAGGGCTTTCCACTGCTTGATTTTCACACTACTTTCCTTTGTGCATTGGCTTTAACTGAGTTTCTGCCATTTCCTATGTTTTCAGGAAGCCTGATGGTTTGGCTTGGCTCTAAGTCAGTTTGTTAATATGTAAAGTTTATCTTGTTTATAGAAATAGATTGATTCGTAGATAATTTCTTCTATGTTTGCAAATTGTCCCTTTCAGATAACAGCCTTAACCTCCGTATGAGGTTGTCCAGAAAGCCTTTTGTGCTTTGACCTTTTATTTTAGTAGTCTGTAGCTGGACAAAGTTGGTTTGGCATATAATCATCACTTCTTTAGCTGGGGGTCTTTTTCTTTCTTTCCTCCCTGGTAATGCAATAAGATCACTGTAGTTTTCTTTCTTTTCAAATTATTTTTTAATCTTTGAATGTTGAAAAGCATTCTCCAATTTTTCTTTGTTTTTCTCTTCTCTCTGGAGATGCTCTAGCTCCCTCAGGGGTCCCTTCCATAATCTAATTTCTTTGATTTTGCCAGATCCAACAAGAAAGTACTTTTTGTTATAGTCTCTCTTGAGCAGCAAGTCTGTGTGTCAGACCATATTAGAAAATTTTCCCCAAAAACCTTTTAAAATTGAAGACACATTGATGTCTATATTCTTGAGAAAATAACCTTTAGAATCCCCTTTCTTAAAGTTTCCAGGAGCCTCTCCTGTTTGGGAAGTACTCTTCCTTATTCAACAAAATTTTGATAATCTTTCTCTGTTCAGGAATATCAGTTCCTAACAAACAAAACCAAATTAAATATACAGCCAGTTACAGCAGCCAGAATTGTTCCTTAACATTCCCTGCTTCTCTATTTGAAAAATAGCCTCTGAACTTGTGATCACTATGACTGTAAGGGCCAGGACATATAACATTATTCCAAACAAATTATTTTGATGGTTTTCATGATAAATGTAACTCATATGAGCTAAAGTAATCAGCCATTGAGATGGCTAGAATATTCTTCACATAGATTTTATCATGAGGCCACCCTTTAGGGCATCAGATACCCCCTGCGACTGTCTGTATTGCTAGGTATGTGAAAATCACTAATGTTTTGAATGTCCTTAAAAACTTTTCTAGATATCAGATATTCTGAGAAATTCAGATGAATTGGTGGTTTTAGGAGTTTTAAAAGCAGAATGTTAAAGTGCTTAGACAACAAGTGAATTCCGGTAGAAGCAAAAAAAGGTAGGAATCAATATTTATTAGGTTTATACTGTAAGGAGACACTTGACATAATGGTCTCTCTATTCTTCACAAGAATCCTTTAAGCACTGAATCTGTATTTTATGAACAAAAAAAACTAAGACTTGGAGACATTAAGTATCCTGTGTGAGGTCACACTCCTCTCTGGCTAGTAGGCTAGAGCCAGGATTATAAAGACTAAGCTTATTGCCCTCTAATCATCTGGCTTCCTAAGAAGCAGAATTAAAAAGAAAAGGCAAGGTGATAGGATTTATTCATCTTAGTCGCATTTTCTAAATGATTTATTTTCCCCATATACAAGAAGCTTAGGGAAATAATGTAAATGTTGTGTGAGACAGCATCTCATGAATGTGGAAATAATGAATATGTATGTTTTCTGCATATGTAACTGATGACTGAAAAGACTGACATCAACACTGAAGTCTGTTATTTAGGATCAAATAAAATGAATCAGGTACTCTATGGATATGTCTTCATATTCACAGATGATCAGGGACTTAGTGTAATGGTTTAAAACATGGGCTGTTGGAGGTGGAGAGGAGGAGGGCAGGATAGGGACAGCTTGATTAATGGATACAAAATTACAGCTAGAGAGCAGCCATAAATTCTAGAGTTCTATACCACTGTTCAGGGAATACAGACGACAACAATTTCTTGTATATTTTCAAAAAGCTAGAAGAGAGGATTTTGAATGTTCCCAACACAAGGAAGGATTAATGTTTGAGATGAAAGGTACACTGATTACCCTGATTTGATCATCACACGTTGTATACATGTATTGAAATATTACTCTGTCTCTCATAAATATGTACAATTATGTGACAAGTAAAAATAAAAGGTAACAAAAAGAACACGGGCCTCTAGAGCCAGGCTGGACATGTCAAGTCCCTGTTCTTCCTCTTATTGACTGTATAACTCTGAGCAAGTTACTTAGCCTCTTTGTGCAATAGTTTCCTCATCTGTAAAATGAGTGTGGTTTTAAAGAATAGCTTACCTTGCTGGCCTAAAAGGATTCAATGTGCAATATGTAAATGTTATTTAGAGTAGTGTCTGTCTGGCTTACAGTAAGCACTTAAAACATGCTTCCTCTTATTAACTTATGCGCTAAATCTCAAAAATATTATAAATCTCTGTCACAAACATTAGCCATCAGAACCAATGGTAGTATCATGATATTGTCTTTGAAGTTCCCAAGATATATCACAGAGTTCTTGGGAGCATAATCTCTATTATATATATATAATAATCTGTTAGTAGCAGAGAACCAGTATAGAATAGTGGTTAAAACTGCAGACCATCAAGCCACTTGTTCCTACTAGAAATATAAACAGGGTTGCCCAGCCTCGTGTTTTCCATATCTGTAAAATAGAAGAATAGTAACTAACTCACAGAATTATAGTTAAGATTAATAAAATCATGCCTTGAAGAGTATCTAGAGACTCATGATCAATTATCTGTTAATATATTCACCATATCATTATTATTTTAATACTATCATATTATTTTAATCCCAGAATAGGAAATTAATTATTTAATTTTAATTATTTTAATCCCAGAATAGGAAATTATTTGTTTAGTGTCTTTTGAGTTTACCAACCCTAAATCTTATATTGATAATATCATCTTTATTTATTTATTTTTTTGACATGGGGTCTCACTTTGTCACCCAGGCTGGTTTTGAACTCCTGACCTCAAGCCATCTTCTAGCTTCAGCCTCCCAAAGTGCTGGGATTGTAGATGTGAGCCACCACGCCCAACCTTGATAATGTCTTGGACTTGTGTGGTTTGTTACAACTTCCCCAGTGTTTGACATCCATCATATCATTTAATCCATAAAATAACTTTTGAGACAGGTATTACTCTTAGGTTGCAGAGAAAGGTGGAGAAATTTATCAAAAATCGCAAAGTTGATAAGTAATAGAGTTAGAACTTGAATCCAGATCTTCTGAATTAAGACTTCTATAATCATTTTTCATGTTTTCCTACCTTCTGAATGTTCTCAGGAGAAAGAAATATTTGAGGATATGTAGGAAAGGAATCATACATGCACCTATCATATGTTACAGTAGCCAGAGTGAAGCAAAAAAAAAAAAAAAGCAAATACCCAGTTTTAAAGTAGATAAAAAGAGAAAAGAGACAAGATGATAAGCCTCATCTTCTGCAAATATTTTTCATTTGCAGTTCTCAAGTCAGTAAGAATCATGTGACAAGTTTACAGAGTTCCCACTGAGATTAGTGAACCCAAAAAAGGTAGGCAGGAAAATAAACTAACTAGGCAGACAACCAAATGGTTTATATTGTATGTTTTCACTTTTTAAAATATTCTATTTCCATGCACTCTCAAATATAAACATTGATAAACTATTCTAAAACCTAATAGTGATATTATTAAGTTATTAAAAAAATAGTTGATAGGGATATGGAGATAATTACTATAATTTTTTTTGCCCTAATCCACTGTCAATAACTTATTCCAGTGGTATAAACTGACATTTACTTTCTTACCTTTTTTAAACTTCTGGGTTTCGGCTGAAGTTCAGTTTCCAGGAAATCTCTCCCCATTTGGGGATCACCATGTACCACAGCCTCAAATTCCTCCCAAGTCCCTTGCCCATATACACAATCATACAACTCACTGTCTGTTCTGGCTGGTTTAGTGGACAGTGCCCATGTGACAAAATTATATCCCTCTGAAAGGAACTGGAATGAGAGAGAACAGATATTACCCACTCATGGATGGGATTTAATGTAGGAAACCATGGCCATGACACAAGCTCTGCCTGCAGGCTCAGATATTTGCATCTTGGTCTCTTGTATCTGTCACAGTCCCTTTTCAAGGCTGCTGAGATATAGAAAATATAAAAGCAAGTACTTTTATCTAGGAAGCTAGCCCTGCTGATTTTCACATTGAGAAGTTTAAACAGGCAGAAGGTCAGGATATTATAATAGTCACTCCTTGAAGGGGAGTAGTTACAGGTCAAATATAAATACCTTGACAAGGCTAAAAGGACTGAAGAAATAAAATTGTGAATCAAGCTATACTGAGATCCACTTTGAGTTAATAAAACGAACAGGTTTGACTGTATTTTTTAAAACATTTTTTCCCAGAATGATACATTTAAAAGCCTGAATATTTGCTATTTCGCCCAGTATCACACATTCCTTCTCCCACACTGAAGAGACCACTGAACTTAGAAAATCAGGGATTTTTGTTGTTCACTGTAACTGTTTTGTGAGCTTGTTTATCAGCTGCACAGACACGCTGCAAGGCCTTCAGTGGGCTTGGGACCACAAGTGAGTATGTGGTGAAAAAAGACCTCACCATGCAATTTAGCAGATTCCAAAAAAAGGAATAAAAATCTTAAGAGAAGGCATTCATGACAGTAAAAATTATGGTTGGTGAAAGTTGGCTGAACTGGCTGAGAAAATCATCTTTCTAAAAAGATTCGCTTCATGTATTGGGGTTAAGTTCAGCTCTGAAAGGACCTATTTGAAATCATGTTGTTCTTGCATCTGGTTGAGGACAAACTACCCCAAATTAACTACACGCAAATGCCATTTTTAGCCTTTCAACATGTGATTAAATCAAGGGTTTGCACCCTTTGAAGCACAATACTTTATAGTTTTAATATGGTCAATAAGCATTGGAAGGCTTATTATGTTCTGATGAAGAGAATTTTCTGGTTAGATTAAATGTTATCCATAATCAATTTTTCTTTCAATGTTTATTGAAAGTCATGCTATTATGTGTTAGACTAGTTTTCTGCTTTAAAAAGTATAGTGCACAGAATGTAATTTAATACTTCTTAAATAATGGTAACCTGACAGCAGAGAAAGATAATAAATATCTTAAAAATAGTCTTCTGGTTTTTTTTTATTATTATACTTTAAGTTCTAGGGTACATGTGCACAATGTGCAGGTTTGTGACATTAAAAAAAAATAGTCTTCTGAACTGTGATCACTATGACTCTATGGCCCAGGACAAAGAACACAAATAATGAAATATCTTAACAAGAAATTCTGCCTTCAAACAAATATTTTCAATGGCTTAAAATATCTTGGTGTGCTTTCAGGTTACCATTGTGATTATTAAACCTAAGTGATGTTAAAAAAGATGTTGATTTACCAACTAAAGATCTATTCTCAATGATTATTCGTAAAAATTACATGATTTGTATTCACAGAAGCATTATTCACAATAGCTAAAAGGTGGAACCAACCCAGGTGTCCATTGATTAACAAATGGATAAGCAAAATGTGTATATATACATGAGGAAATATTATTCAGCCTTTAAAATGAAGGAAATTATGACCTATACTACAACATGGATGAATCATGAGGAGATTAAGTTAAGTGAAATAAGCCAGTCACAAAAAAAGAAATACTGTATGATTCTAAATATGAGGTACTTAGAGTAATTGAATTCATAGAAAGAGAAAATAGAACAATGGTTGCCAGGGGCTGGGGGGCATACGAAATTGTTTAATGGGTATAGAGTTTCAGTTTTTCAAGATGAAAAGGTTCCAGAGATCGGTTGTGCAACAGTGTAAACATTCTTAACACTAAAGTTTATGTACACCTAAAAATGGTCAAGATGTTTTGATGTTATATATATTTTACTATGATTAATTTTTTTAATTTGTATAAATTTAAAGAGTACAAGTGTAATTTTGTTACATGGATATATTGAGCAGTGGCAAAATCTGGGCTTTTAGTGTATTCATCAGCTGAATAATTTATATTATACCCATTAAGAAATTTCTCATTATCTCCCCTGTTTAACTCCCCCGTTTCACTCCCCCCCACTTTCCCAAGTCTTCAATGCCTATTATTCCATACTCTATGTCCATGTGTATACAAAATTTCGCTCCCACTTATGGGAGAACATGCGTTATTTGACTTTCTCTTTCTGAGTTGTTTCACTTACAATGATGGCTTCCATTTCCATCCATCTTGCTGGAAAAGACGATTTCTTTCTTTTAATGGCTGAGTAGTATTCCATTATGTATATATGCTACATTTTCTTTATCCAATCATCTGTTGATAGACACTTAGATTGATTCCATATCTTTGCAATTGTGAACAGCACTGCGAAAAACATGCAAGTGCAGGAATCTTTTTAATATGATAATTTATTTTCCTTTGCATAGATATACAGTAGTAGGATTGCTGGATCAAATGGTAGATCTATTTTTAGTTCTTCAAGAACTGTCCATACTGTTTTCCATAGAGGCTGTACTAATTTACATTCCCACTAACAGTGTATAAGAGTTCCCTTTTCCCCACATCCTTGCCAACATCTGTTATTTTTTATCTTTTTTATAATAGCCATTCTGATTGGTGTAAGATGATATCTCATTGTGGTTTAATTTGCATTTATCTGATGATTAGTGAGGTTGAACATTTTTGCATGTACTAAATGGCCATTTGTATGTCTTCTTTCCAAAAATATCTATTCATGTACCCTGCCCACTTTTTAATGGGGTTATTTGTGTTTTTGTCGTTGTTGTAGTTGGGCTGAGTTCCTTGTATGTTCTGGATATTAGTCCTTGCATAGTTTGTAAACAGTTTCTCCCATTCTGCAGGTGGTCTGTTCAGTCTGCTGATTATTTCTTTGACTGTGCTGAAGATTTTTAGTTTAATTAAGTCCCATTTGTCTATTTTCATTTTTATTGCTTGTGCTTTTGAGTTCTTAGTCATGAATTCATTGCCTACACCAATGTCTAAGAGTTTTCTCTAGGTTTTCTTCTAGTACTTTTATAGTTTCAACTCTTAATTTTAAGGCTTTAATTCATCTTGAGTTGATTTTTAAAGATGTTTTTACTTTTATGGATACATGGGTGTATATATTTATGGGATAGCTGAGATATTTTGATATAGGCATACAATGTGTAATAATCCCATTAGGATAAATGGGGTATCCATCACCTCAAGCATTTATTATTTCTTTGTGTTACAAACATACCAATTATATTCTTTCAGTTATTTTTAAATGTACAATAAATTATTGTTGACTGTAGTCACCTTGTGTTATCACATACTAGATTTTATTTATTATTTTATTTATTATTTCTAACTATATTTTTATAGCCATTAACCACCTCCACTTCTCCCCCCAAACCCCCTATCCTTTCCAGCCTCTGGTGACCACCATTCTACTCTCTCTCTCCAATAGTTCAATTTTTTTTTTTCATTTTTAGCTCCCACAAATGAGTTAGAACATGCAAAGTTTGTGTTTCTGGGCCTGGCTTATTTCACTTAACATAATGTCCTTCAGTTCCATCCACATTGTTGCAATGACAGGATCTCATTGTTTTTTAAGACTGAATAGTACTACATTGTATATATGTGCCACATCTTCTTTATCATTTGGCTGTCGATGGACACTAAAGTTGCTTCCAAATCTTGGCTGTTGGGAATAGTGCTGCCGTATATATCGGAGTGTGGATATCTCTTTGATATACTGATTTCATTTCTTTTGGATATATACCTAGCAGTGGAATTGCTGGATCATATGGTAGTTCTATTTTTAGTTTTTGGAGGAACCTCCATACGTTCTCCATAGTGACTGTACTAATTTACACTCCCACAAACAGTGTACAAGCTTTCCCTTTTTTCCACATCCTCACCAGTATTCATTATTGCCTGTCTTTTGAATGAAAGTGATTTAAACTGGGATGAGATGATATCTCATTATAGTTTTGATTTGCATGTCTTTGGTGATCAATGATATTGAACACCTTTTCACATAACTCTGTTTCCCATTTGTATATCTTCTTTCGAGAAATATCTATTCAAGTCTTTTGCCCATTTTTAAATTGGAATATCAGATTTTTTTCCAATTTAGTTGTTTGAGCTCCTTGATTTTTATATATAGTGAGAGATAGGGGTCATGTTTCATCCTGCTGCATATAGCAACCCACTTTTCCCAGCACCATTTATTGAAAAGGGTGTCCTTTCCCCAGTGTATACTCTTGTCGACTTTATCAAAGATCAATTGGCTATAGATATGTGGCTTTATTTCTCAGTTCTCTATTCTCTTCCATTGAACTGTGTGTATTTTTATAACATGCTGTTTTGGTTACTATAGCATTGTGGTATAATTTGAAGTCAGGTAATGTGATGCCTCCAGCTTTGTTCTTTTTGCTTAGGATTGCTTTGGCTACTTGGGTTCATTCTTGGTTCCATATAAATTTTAGGATTGTTCAAGTAATATAATTTTTAATTTAAAAAGCCCATGATTTAAGCTTGCAAGTCTGTCACTTCCTTCTCATAAATTTCCGTACAGAAAAAAATGTAGATTGATAAAGGGATGAAGTTTATTGAGATTTTACTCTACAAGAAGCATGGGAACAACAAGGACGTAATAATCCAGTAGCCTTGGTTTCCCTTTTAATGCAGACAGTGTAGATGGGGAATACAATCTTTCCCCTAGAAATCAAGGCAGAGATTATTTTCAACAATACAGAAAAGCTTGCTCTCTAACGTTTTCTTATTCCATTTATTATCTCCCCTCTATTTTGTTTCATTCATTTCTCTATCTCCTCTGACTGTTTGCCCATAGTCTATCTACATGCTCAGGACTCCAGAATCCATTAACCTGATTTTGCCTCATTCTACCTCCTAACATTTTCTAGTCTTTTATACATACAAGTGGGGATTTATATGCAATTGGGACTAAGTGGGAGAAAGTTGATAAGAAAGAGTAGGAAATTCAAAACGCTAGGTAGGAAATCTAAACTCTGCAGAATCAGGATTAAAGATTCAAGCCTAGATCTAAGAGAGGAGGCAATGGAACGAGTGATGGAGTAATGGCTGAAGAAGAGGCCAGGTAAAGGAAAAGAGTGGTCAGAAGACCAAATAAGAGACAATGTCTTCAACTAAAGGTACAAAGAAACCTAGTATAAGGCCAGGTATGGAGGCCATACAGGATTGCAAACGAGGTACTCCAACTTTTACATATACTTTTAGGGTGAGCCCTTAAAATAGTAAGTTCCCATTGAACAATGTCTATTTTTTAAATGCTACAATTAATGGATCAATGCTTCTAAAGCTTTTTGTAATTTGATCACAGTCTATGTTTTGGTCAACTATCTTGGTCATATATTCCTAGTAAACTACTTCCTCCTTCACCTTTCTGTAATTTTATTCATACTATCCTTAGTCTAGATAGAGTGTTGTCTAATAGAACATTTTCTGTTGAGGGACATGTTCTATATCTACATGGTCCAATACAGAAGCCACTAGTCATATATGACTGGAGACTAATATATTGGACAGCACAGGTCTAGAATCTTCTTTCCTATTTTCAAATCTGTTGAAATTCTACTCTTTCCTTTCAATGCCCATCACTGTAGAGAACGCAGTCAATGTTTCACCCATAGCCTCTCAGATCTCTTTTACCACTGCTGTTTGTGTTTCTCCTGGCCTCTCAGCTTGTGCTTCTAATAGCTTGTACCTATAACTCACTTCACAGGACTGTCCTGAAACTGCTGGAGCCATTGTGCTCATAGAAGCAGAGCTCAGAGGGCCTGGGAGTTTATGTCCTGCCCCCTCTCCCCAGCCTCACCCCAGGGCAGCCCTTAGCCCCTGACTGACTGGTACAGGAGCATAAAAATCAAGCTCACTTTCCTTTGACTCAGGCCAACCCTAAGGTAAAACTCAAAACTCTAGGGTCCTCCTGCAATATCAGGCTAAAACTGCCTCTCCAGGACTTTGCCTGAAATCTCACCCTTATGCTTGGCTTCTTTCTGTTCCCTGTTCTGCTTCACCCCTTTCCTTACTAGTTTCTTCTGGGAGCACTTCTTCGCTTGCACATGAATCTTCATATCAGGGTCTGTGTCTAAGACAAACTAAAATGCTAATTCATCTGTGAAGCTTTGATTGGGAACCTCAGTCCCCAATCAAAATTAAGTATAGCACTTCATTTATATCTTCATATGGCACCATTTAAAAGTTAGACAATTATATTCATGACTGGTTCCCTGTGAACTGTGTCCCCCTAAAATTCATATGTTGTCCTAACCCCCAATGATTGTATTTGGATATAAGACTTTTAGGGAAGTACTTAAGATTAAATGAGGTCATAAGCATGGGACCTTAATCTGATATGACTAGTGTTCTTAAAAGAAGAAGAGACACCAGAGATCTCTGTCTCTCTCTCTCTCTCTCTCTCCCGCCTCCCTCTCCCTTCCTGTCCCTGTGTACCCAGAGAAAAGGACACAGCAAGAAGGAGGCCATCTACAAGCCAGAAAGAGAGGCCTCACCAGAAACTGAATCCGCCAACACCTTGATCTGGGACTTCTAGCTTTTAGAATTGTGAGAAATGAATTTCTGTTCTTTAAGCCACTCAGTCTGTGGTGTTCTGTTAGTTATGGCAGCCTGGGCAGACTAATACAGTCCCCAACTAGAATGTAAACTCTCAATGATTAAGAATCATGTATTCTCCTGCTCAGTGTCTTGTATGTTAAAGGTTCTTTAAAATGTTTGTTGAATGTATTGACTATAAAGGAAAAAGTGGACATAATGGTTTTTCTGATAATTTTTTATAAAAATATTGTATGATTTAAAAGTATTAAAGTTGTAGAAAAGAGAGTTTGTTGCCATGAGGTATTTATCTATTGTACTACAGATTCTTTACATACTCAGTAGTGATGGCTAGTCATTCTTTAAGTTGAAAAAAATTAATATAAAAGTGACTCACATACTCACTGACAAAAACAATGATCATACCTGCTGATTTTTATGAATTCTTCAAATTTAAGAGTCTTTAGAAACCCAATTAGGGATAACTCAGATGTATGATTGAGCTGAATCAGTGACACACATACAAAAGAAAAAAAAAGCTATATCCCTCCCATCCTTTGTTGATCACAAGTTAGTAAAACATGAACCATGGTGAATATCTTGTAGTGACTTAGAAATGTATAGTTGAAAGCACTCAATAAATACTTAACAGATGAACAAATATGCTTAACACAAGCAATAAAACAGGTCACAGAATAGTACTTTTTTTAAATAAAAAAGAAGTATATAGTTATATAGTAAATAAAAGAAAAAAATTAAACAAGAATCTTACAAATGAATGACTCTGAGTGGTGACATTTTTGGATGTTTCTATTAACTTCATCATAATTTGTTAGCTTTTTCCATGTTTTCTACAGTAAATATATATAATATTTGAAACCAGGAAAAAACAATATTTTTAATCCTCTAGCCACATCCACATCTTCCAGCTCTGCCTACACCAAAAATCAGCAACAGTAATCAAACAAAAAAATTAGGTTTGGATACGGGGAAATAAAAATGAAAATAACAGTTATTTTACTCATTGAGATGCCATTTACAATTCAATCCATTACAGAGTAATCAGCTTCTGAAAGCTTGAGCTTATGAGTCAGGCAAACCCAAGCACTAAGCTGTTATGATAAAGATGTAACCAAATACAAACCATGTGGAGCCAAGATGATTGTACAACTTGATTCTTTCCTTAGCACTCCCATAGAGCCCATGACCTGATGACAAAGGGCACTGATGATCAGAAATAAGTAATTCAGAGAATCTGTGCTGACCCAATTGCTCAGATTTCTCAAGGAAATATCCTAACTTTTCTCCTTTAGAAATTCACCTTTGGCAATAAAATAATTGGAAAAAATAAACCTCACTTCAACCTCACCACAGGGAGAGAGGGATGGTCTGTAAGGCACAACATTTTTAGGTAAGCTTAGTATTAGCCTCTGTCTAAAATTATTTGAAATGCTTAGCAATATTTATTTTTAAAATATATTTGTCTTTATATCTGTATATTATACATATAATAGCCCTGAGAAATTGGTAGGGCAGATATTATTATCCCTAATTTACTAAGATAGAATCTGAAGTCACCTTCCGTCCCCTTGAAGCCTAGCTGCATTTTGAGCACTGTCCTTTTGACCTTGTATTCCAAGTGCATTCCAGCAGGTGTGGGCTTAAACACCCGAGGGATGGTCTGTGCACTTTGCAAGCTGAGAGGAAATAATATTGCTCTACCACTTCAGAAAACTGTTGAGTGCCCTGATCTCCTGAGAAATTCTCCCAAGTGTTTAGCAGAAATGCCCCACCCGTGAGTGCAGAATGGAGCCATGTGCCCCCGACTCACACTGTGGCCCTGCTTGCTCTTGCACCACCCATCCATCTGGGTGGTCTTCAGGGGAAGCCCTCAGAGGAAGACTGATTGAAACCAGAGTTGCTGTGCCACCCACACCAATTCTAGTTTCTGAACGCAGCCAGCTGAAGCATATTCGCTATCCTAAAATAATAAAAACAAATTAATGGAATTGACTCAAGGGAAATCAAGTTCCACTTATAGGCCTAGTGGCAGAAACAGCTGTTAAAATTCATTAAATTGGAAGCTCCTGTAGTAGCTTCTTAAGAATATTTTTCAAAGTCTTTGGACCACTACTATAAAAGACCAAGTTAAACATTATTCATCAGGAAGTGTTTTTGTGGAAGGACATGGAATGCATTTGGAAATCTGCATAGCATGTAAGATTGTGGCTGGATCATTCGCAAAGTTTGTATTTCATTAAGCTTTGATAGATAAGCCTGTTGTAATTTGAAAAATTAAGATCAATCTCCGCATTAAAAATCCCCAAAGCATTTCCACTGAGTATGAATTTCCTTATCACAGAACTTTCTATAAGATATTTACAGATTTTGACAAGTCTGGCTATGAATTCTACAATAAAACTCTTAGTTAATAATGGCAACGATTTAAAATCTAAAATTTTTTTTCAAGAGTTGTTTATATACCTTTTCTTCTTTCAAAGGTATTTCTATGCTGTTAAAATAATTGTACTTTTTGTCTACATGAACTATCTTAAGAATTTCTATGTCAATAATAAAGGAATGTGTCTGATAACCAAAAAAAAAAAAAAAAAGTAGAGTTTGGATTGGATGACATCCAAGGACTTCTTTGACTTTTGATTCTAGAAACTAGAATTCCAAGGGTGCTATTCACATCGGTAGCAGCCAGCTCTCTAGATGCAGAGTTAAGGCCAACCAAATTCATTCTGCAAGAATTGAGGATGCCAACACTGACAATTAAGTTCCTAAATGTATCCATTGAGGTGGTTTGATTACAAATGTCAAAACTCAAATCTGACTAACTACAGGTAAAAGGGAAATAATTATAAGGTCCTGGTGGGGGCTCCCAGACCCAAAGGGAAATCTACAAAAGCAGAAACCTAAAAGGACAGGAATCAGGGCATTTGGAGGATCTAGGTAGCTAGTCTTCAGGATATTGCAAGAGGACCCACTGGCTCCAACCATTTTTCTTCTGCTCTTTAACCACTGGGCTCAAGAGCCTGGGGGGATAGTCCATTGTTTATATAGTGGATTGATATTCAATATCCATTCTGCCCTCATCTAGAGTCCCTTCAGTCATCGTTAAGGCCAGAAAGCTAAACATTATATTCCATAGTCTAGTTTGCAGACAGTGTTCCAGAAGGTACTTAATAATATTCAGCTAGTCACATGTGTTCATGTGAGATCAGAAAGGCAGAAGTGAGGTGGAGGCCACATTTGTGCTGCTTCTGCAATTTCTGGTGCAGAACATAAATGGCAAGGTGGTTGATTTTTCTGCAACAGCTTTAGCTGAAATCCCAGTAGCTAGCCACTTGTTAGATATTGAGAGGATGGCATGGGTCATCCATTTTGTTGGTGCAGTCCCAGCAGGCATGTCATGGCTCTGGGGCCAACAATTGTGGCCATGGTTTCTTATCTGTCAGTCACAGCTAACATGCATATTTCTGGTACCAATGATTACAACGACAATCAGAAGTTGGCATCGTGGTTCCCACTTCCGTGGCTTCCTGATGTTAACAGTTCTCTTTGCAGACTGTTACTTGTTATATAACAATTATTTTTTTCTGCAAATAATTACTGGATACTCCATTCTCTGTAATAAATCCCCTTCTGCTTAAACAGGTAAATAGTTCCATTTTAGTCCAATTGGCCATCATGGCTCATATGCCTACCCCTTGGTGGGGCTGATTGGCAGCCCCACCAAGATTGGCAACCCCATCAAGTACACACAACGGAAGAGGGAAAATTTCCCAGAAGAAAATAAGATGCTCTTATCAAAATAAAAGGGAAAATTGACTGTGAGTGGCAGAAAATAACAACCAACCATCCTGTAAATAAATACAAAGATAATTAATCAACATCATTTTCAGGGTGTCTTGTAGGCCCATTACACAAAGCAAAGTTTTCTGAAGTCCTGAAATATTACAATACATTATGAAAGCTTAACTACCCTAAGGCAAGGAGTCAGGGAATGCTTCAGAAAAAGACATCTGATCTCAGTCTGAAGGATCAAAGAAATATGAAGGTCTTTCTAGGTAGTGGAAAATTCATGTCTTAATTGGCACTCTGTGTCTGTATGTGTGTGTGCACACATGCTCACGCACATGTGTGTTGAGTATCTAAATAAAGATTGAAGAGTGGATTAATTAGTAAAGAGGAAAGTTTCATTTTGAGCATTTCTCTCACTAGCAGTTGTACATTTCATAGTAGGAAGGAACCATAAAAAGGCATTGTAAACAATCAAGACACTGTAGATTCAGGTTAGCTAGCCAGAGATTCCAAGAGCCCATACCCAGAGGACACACAGAAGCAGGCAGTTGCCTACCACTACCCTTTTAATTGCCCTATGCATTCTGACCTCCTTAGATAGAAATTGGATTTAACACCTGAACATGTTCCAAATGTCAAGGTTCATTATCCATGGACTTCCACATCATATGACTTTTTTTTACAACTTCCCAACATTCTTCCCTGGGCTTAGTTTTCCTCTCATAGTCATGGTCACTAGCTCATGGATTAGCTCCTGGAGATGCTAGGTTTGGGCTTCCATTTACTCCTACTTTCCCAAGAGAAGCTAGACCCCTATTATTTCATTCTCAATGCCAGGTAAGGGTATAGCTTTATTTCTATCCTGATCTGTGACTTTGCTATTTTTCTCACTCAGCCATTTCACACATTGAATTGAACTTTTACCTGCATTGAAAGTGCTATTGAGACAATATTGTCACAGTGACACTTTGACCCAAACTCACACAATCTGTTTTTATGTGTCACCTGGTAGCACCATCAAGAGCAGGAAGGGAAGGAAAACCAACACTAATTGAATTTCCATTATATGTTACATATGTGTCTAAGACCTTTCCCATGTGTTATTCATTTCATATAATTTATACAGTGGTTTGTGTCCCAGAGTCAATCATCCTTCAGTCTATGTCAGCACTTCCCAGGGACTTGCTACAGCAGAATTCAGCTTAATTAACTACCTTCCTTTCAGCAATGTCCTCTCTCCCACTCAACCTGCCTTTTAATCCAGGTGACTCTCAAATGCCATCTCCTCTGCCCTTCCTTTTACCACAGCCATCCTCAGAAACCACTTCAGTCCTACCTCCCTGCTTTCCTAGTCTTTTTCTTTCCAATCTTTCTACAGTGAAGCTTGAACCCCAGCCCCAGTGTTAAGCCAGCTCTAAGTAAAATGTACCTATCCCCTCAGATACCAGTACTGACCTCACAGAGAGGAAGAAATTACGATAGGAATCAAATTTCAAACATTCCTACCACTTTTCTGAAACTATGTCCACCTGTTTTGAATCAGTGTCATGTATTAAGCGAATGTGATTCTTCCAACAGGATAAAAATGAGTAGATGTTACCTATCACACAATTTTTCAAAGCTTTTCTTCTCTTCTTGACCTTCTACATTTTCTTTCCAAGTAGCAAGAGGAGTACTAAAAGATAAGGTTTCAAAATATGATAGAGTATTCCTCAAAAGATTAGGGAGTAAAGATAAAAACGAATAGTGATGAAGCAGCGCTGAAGAGACCTCTGTGCGCTGCTGAAAAAAGAGAAGAGTCGTGACTTCCCTATGTACAAGCTTCTTCATGCACAAACCCACCCACAAATTTACCATTTACTCTTCTCACACAGCATTTAAAAGTCTCATGTGTTGCATTGCCTCCATTTTTCACACACTGAATTCCTAAGCATAAAAGCTTTTTTAAAAAATCTATTTTTGCAATAGAATTTCTGATATTAGGTGCCGGATCAGGCTCTGTCTTGTAAAACAACTATGGCGATAGCCAAGTGGGAAAAGAGTGCTAAGTTCCTGAAAGAACCGTGAGAAGTGGAGTCCAGACACCTTTCCAGGGCTTGTGGTGTTAGTACAAGGCATTTCTACTTCTCTCCTCCCATCCGGCAACACTATGAGATGAGAAATAGGAGCCAGATAGAGTTCGCTTTTAGGGGAGTACAGTGGGTTTTTTAATAAAAAGAAACTATTTCCTCCCTGCAGCTCCCCCTACTGGAAAAAGGGGATTTTTTCCTCCCTCAATCTTGTGGGTAGCCCCACAAGATTTCTGGTAGGATTTAGGGTGACGGCAGGAAGTGGAGACTGATGTTTCATTCCCTAGTTACAGTCCTGCGGAGGAACTGGGCTAATTTGTCTGCCCAACGCTACTCCAGTCCAGACATGAGACACTGGGGAAGGTGCTGTGGTGGGGAGGCCTAATGGAGGGAGCCAGTCCTAGTATCTGTCCTCATCCACCAGAGCCTTGCCCCTGAGATATCATAGGGGATAGATCCCAGAGGTGGGAGCTGCAGAGGGTGCACAGGGCAAGCAGTCTTGCCGGGAACCACAGCAACGTGGCGGCAAAGATAACTTCTTAGAGAAATACTAGGTAATGCCATCAGCTACATATTAGAATGTGGTAAGAATGAAGATATTTTAGCTTTTACGTATCACTACATATCAGACTGAAGTCGTAAAACATGTATGTGCTTCATGAATATTTCTCTGAAACTATTTTCAAGAAGAGTCTTCAAAATGGATTTGAGTAAAGACAACTAAGTGGAATGGGTGCATCATTTTTCATTGTGGTAATTTTGAAAGAAAATCCATTTAGATGTACCTATTTTCTTGCATTTGTTCAAAATAATTTCTCTCCGTACTTCATAGTCTCCATTTACATGTATTGTTATATAACTGAAGTAGCTCTGCTATTCTCACCAACCAGGAATGCTTCTAAAGGTGAATTCTCTTGATTAACTTTTGCCCTCCTACTCTCCGTTCATTGACCACAGGCAGTGACACGTTGAGAAATGTTTCATAACGGGGTCTTTTGGGAGAAAAATCACACCAGATGTGTAAAGATTGCCAGTTTCTGTGGTAAAATTACTCGCACCACAGCTAACTTCAAGCTACCACTGTAACCCCACTAAATGTGAAGTTAGGAAGAGGTGAGCACAGTCTGCTCTCAAGAGTCAGGGCAAACCGTCTCTAGCACACCAGTGACCTGAAGTGTGATCGTAAGATCCACTCCATCTTCAGCATCCATCACTTCACTTAAAACCATTGTTGAAGTATTACTTTTTATTTTGTGCTATATGCCCTTCCTCAAACAATTCCAAATGGCACTGAAAGAACAAATATGGAAACCAAATACAAACAAGAAAAAGGAAAAGAAAATAGAGAAAATGAAAAATGTCATTTTTCAGAGAGGTCTTCATGAAGTAGCTAATTGTTCACAACGTGGTAGATAAAAATCATGCTTTTAATAAGACAAAACAATAGTCCCCCAGTTTTAGATTCATGCCATATTGACCCCTACTGTAGCATATCTTAAAGCATAGGGCTATTGAGTGGGTTTGCTGACTGTGGCTTATAAAGTACCTAGAGAGTATGGGGTATTCATGGAACTTGCTCTTCCTTTGTATGGGAAGTAAGCTTATCAGCCACACAAGGAAGCACAATTCTTTACACCTCTGCAAAGGACAGAAGACCAGAGTAAAAAAGTTGGTAGAGGTTTTTTTTCTAAAGAAGAAGGTGTTGTCCTAACCTGATGGAAGGGTATACCAGTGGCATGCCAAAGAAGCCCAGAGATTGTTTATAGCTGGTGGTTTCTGAAATAAGGTTTCCACTGGGACCTCTGAAGTTATTCTGCATACATTCAGATCCTCAGCTGTAGCCAAGTGGAGATAAAAATGATCATTAAGGTGCACCCTCAGAAAATAAATAAAAAGACTGTGACTTCTAGCACTGCCCTTTCTTAGAGGAAAACACCAAAAAGTTATACTGTTTTCAAACAAAAACAAAAAATACTTAACAGCATGGCCTCAATTTCACATCCATGTTAACAATTTAAGAAGAGCAATTTTGCAATCATCTGTGAGTAGAAGATTCTATCACTGGCCCAATTCAATTACATGTTGAACTAAGGCCAGGTTCATAAAAAAAAAAAAAGCATAGCAAAGAGTTTCTGAATTATCACACAGAACTATTACAGAAGGCTCACTTTGATTTTGATGTGCTACATTTACACACTCCAATTATGCCTTTATAAAGCTCAGTGAGCAGCATGAAATCAACCCAATTAAATGGCAGCAGGAAGACCTTTCACTCCCAGGTCCATTCCTGTCCAGCTCCAATCACCTCATTTTATAATAACTAAAATCTTAATATAAAGCTGAAATTTAGAGGTCTTCCTCTTTCTCTAATATATTAAATAGAGGAGGAGGTTGGTATAATGGTTTTATTTTAAACCAGTTCTAGGTATATGTAATATAATATAGATCCTCATCACCAAATGGATAGGCCAAAGTTACAGTACCATATGTACTCACATTTTTCACTTGTCATAATCCGTTCTCTTTTTTGTCATGACAGAAAGAGAGAGAGAAAAAAGAAAGAAAGAGAGAGAGAGAAAGAGAGAAAGAGATGAAAGTGTGCTATACTGCTTCAGGGGAATCTTTCCATATGTAAAGAGTTTCTTCAGTCATGCAGAGGGAGAAGCAATCCCTGTAATGTGTCAGAAAATCGTCAAACCAATATTGCACAGATGGACAAAGAAGAACACCTAACCAAGAAGGCTAACGTCTTTGAGATGACAGCAGGCAGAATGTGATTTCAGAGGTTAAAGCCCGTCTGAACATGGTGAGAGTGATGCCTACCTCAGAAGTCACTTCTTGCTTGAGCATTTCCAACAGCATTCTCAATGAACCTATTGAACAGGAAATGGCCAGCCAGAGACTCCAGCAGTAAAGTGACATTCATCTTAGCATGGCTTTAAAGAACTGGCCCCATTTGGAAAACAGTTGACCACCAAACACTCAAGGAACTTTCAAAATTGTGAGCTAAGTAGGGCAGCCACAAGCAGAATGGGACAGAAGGACTATTTTAAGGATTCCCTGAAGCACAACTTCAAATGATGAGGCCCAGCTTTGTCACATTGGCATGATGAGGCTATGCTTTTAAAGACCTTAGGCTGACTCAGGAAACTCAGAGCAAGCAAAAGGCTCCAATGCTGCAAATAGCAGCTGCAACCACACTTCCAAGAACAGAATGAAGTCTTTCTGCCATGCTTATTCAAACTATCCGTCTCTGTCACTGTCTTCTTGGGATTGAAAAGTCTACATGCAAGTGATGTGATCTAGATAGAGAAATTCATTTGGAATAATTTGTCAGTAATATACATAGCAGGCAATGAGTCAAAATATAAAGAACTGTTACAGGTTTCTTAAAGTAAATCTACAGTAGTCAGTAAATATATGAAAAGGAAGTACAATCTAAATATTGAACAGACATAAAATTACACCATTAACAAGATACCAATTTTTACCTATTTGAAGCCTTTTTAAATGATAATAGCCAGTGCTAGGGAGATGGTAGGAAAACAGAGATTCATATACATTTATTTATTTAATATTTATTGAGCATATACCATATGCCAGGCACTATTCCAGATGCTAGAAATATAGTAAAGATCAAATCAAGCAAAATCTTTGTCTTCGTGGACCTTACATTCTATAGTTATAAATAAATTATTAAACTAAGTTCAGACAGTGATAATCCTACAAAAAGTAAAATAAGGTAATTGGATAAACAGTGACAGAAGAGGAGTCTATTTTGGACATGTTAGGGAAGGCCTCTCAGAGGAGATAGCATTTCATTCATGATGGCAGTATAAAGCAATTTTACCTCTAAAAACATGTGTTAAGGAAATAATATGTCTAAAACTATTGCATTTGGAAGATCTTTAATTGCACTCTTTTTTTTTTTTTTTTTTTTTTTTTTTTTTTTTTTTTTGAGACGGAGTGTCGCTCTGTCGCCCAGGCTGGACTGCAGTGGCGCGATCTCGGCTCACTGCAAGCTCCGCCTCCCAGGTTCACGCCATTCTCCTGCCTCAGCCTCCCGAGTAGCTGGGAGTAGAGGCGCCAGCCACCACTCCCGGCTAATTTTTTTGTATTTTTAGTAGAGACGGGATTTCACTGTGTTAGGGAGGATGGTCTTGATCTCCTGACCTCGTGATCCTCCCGCCTCGGCCTGCCAAAGTGCTGGGATTACAGGTGTCAGCCACCGCGCCCGGCCTAATTGCACTCTTTATTTTTATTTTTTAGTTGACACATAATAACTATGTATATTTATGGGGTACAGTGTGAAATTCTGACAAATGTATACATGTGTAATGATCAAATCAGCTCAAATATGTATCATTTCTTTGTGTTGAGAACATTCGAAACTCACTCTTCTAGCTTTTGAAAATACACAGAAAATTTATTGTTAATTATATTCACCCTATAGTGCTATAAAACACTAGAACTTCCCTCTCCTATCTAACTCTACTTTTCTAGGTGTTAACTAGCCTTTGGCTAGTCCCCCTCCCCCTACCTTTTCTTGCCTCTAGTAACCATTATTCTACTCTCTACTTCTGTGAATAAATTGTTTAGCTTCTACATATGAGTAGGAACTTGCAGTGTTTATCTTTCCGTGCTTGACTTATTTCACAATGTTCTTCAAGATTATCCATGTTGCTGCAAATGACAGAATTTAGTTCTTTTATGGCTAAATAGTATTCCATTGTGTATGTATACCACATTTTCTTTATCCATTCATCTGCTGATAGACACTTAGGTTGATACCACGTCTGGACCATTATGAATAGTGCTGCAATAAACATGGGAATGCGGGTATCTCTTTGATACACTGATTTCCTTTCCTTTGATTGTATACCCAGTAGTGGGATTGCTGGATCATATGGTAGTTGTCTTTTTAGTTTTTTGAGGAAACTTCATATTGTTTTCCATAATGGTTGTACTAATTTACAGTCCCACAAACAGCATGTAAAGTTTCCTTTTTTTCCACATCCTCACCAGCATTTCTTTTTTGTCTTCTTGATAACAGCCATTTTAAATGGCATAAGATTATATCTCATTATAGTTTTAATTTGCTTTTCCCTGATAATTAGTGATGTTGAGAATTTTTTTTTATACCAGCTGGCCATTTGTATGTCTTATTTTAAAAATGTCTATTTAGCTCATTGGCCCATCTTTTGATCCCATTACTTGTTTCTTTGTTGTTGACTTGTTTGAGTGCTTTGTATATTCTGGACATTAATCCCTTGTCAAATGAGCAGTTTGCAAAGATTTTCCCCCATTCTTCAGGTTGTCTCTTTATTCTGTTGATTATTTCTCCTGCTGTGCAGAAGCTTTTTAGTTTGGTATAATCCTACTTGTCTATTTTTACATTGTGAAGATGTTAATTGCACTCTATATTTTGCTTACACTTTTCAGATTTTCTTCATAAAATTTTTGCCCAGACCAATGTCCTTAAGGGTTTCCCATGTGTTTTCTTCTAGTAGTTTCATAGTTTCAGGTCTTACACTTAAGTCTTTAATCCACTTTGAGTTGGCTTTTGTATGGTGAGAGAGATGTAGTTTCATTTTTCTGTGTATGAATATTCAATTTTCCCAATACTATTTATTAAAGAGACTGTCCCTTCCCCAATTAGTGTTCTTGGAATCTTTGCTGAAAATCAGTTGACTGTAAATTCATGGATTTATTTATAGATTCTCTATTCTGCTCCATTGGTCATATGTGTCTCTTCTTATCCTAGTGCCATGCTGCTTTGGTTAATAACACTTTGTAATATATTTTGAGGTAAGGTAGTTTGATGCCTTCAGCTTTATTCTTTTTGCTGAGAATTTCTTTAACTATTCCGGGTCATTTGTGGTTCCACACAAATTTTAGGATTTTCTTTCTATTTCTATGAAGAATGTCATTGGTATTTTGATAAGAATTGTATTGAATCTGTAGATCACTTCTGATAGTGTGGTTATTTTCACAATGTTACTTCTTCCAATCCATGGACATGGGATGTCTTTTCATTTTTTGTGTGTCCTCTTCAATTTTTTTTATTAATGTTTTAAAGTTGTCCTTGAAAAACCTTTCACCTCCTTTGTTAAATTTATTCCTAGGTTTTTTTTAATAGATATTGTAGATGAAACAGCTTTCTTGATTACTTTTTTGTATGCTAATTTTGTATCATGAAACTTTACTGAATTTGTTTGTCAGTTCTAAGAGGTTTTGGAAGGGCTTTTAGGGTTTTCTATAAATAAGATTATGTTGTGTGCAAGCAGAGCCGATTTGACTTCCTTCTTTCCAATTTGGATTGGATGCTCTTTACTTCTTTCTCTTGCCAATTGCTCTAGCTAGGACTTTCAGTACTATGTAAAATAAAAGTGGTGAAAGTAGACGTTTTGTCTTGTTCAAGATCTTAGAAGAAAAGCTTTCAACTTTTCCCTGTTTAGTATGATGTGGACTTTGAGTTTGTCATATATAGTCTTTATCATGTTGAGGTACGTTCCTTCTACACCTAACTTGTTCAGAGTTTTTCTCATGAAGAATTGTTTAAAATATCAATTTTTTACATGTGTATATTAAGGTGATAATATGTTTTTAATCCTTCATTCTGTTGATGTGATATGTAATGTTTATTGGTTTTCATATATGGAAACATCCTTGCATTCCTGGGATAAACCCAACTTGTTTATGGTAAATGACCTTTTAATATGCTGCTAGAATCAGTTGGCTAGTATTTTGTTGAGGATTTCTGCATTTTATGTTCATCAGGGATACTCGTCTATAGTTTTATTGTTGTTGTTGTGTCCTTATCTGGTTTTGGCATCAGGGTAATGCTGGCCTAATAGAATCTATTTGGAAGAATTTCCTTTTCTTCAATTTTTTGTAAGAGTTTGAGCAGAATTAGTATTAGTTCTTTAAATATTTGGTAGAATGCAGCATTGAAGCCATCATGTCCTGGACCTTTCTATGATGGGATACTTTTTACTGTGGTGTTGATCTCATTTCTCATTATTGGCTTGTTGAGATTTTCTGTTTCTTCATGGTTCCATTTTGGTAGGTTTTATGTGTCCAGGAATTTATTCATTTCTTCTAGGTTTTCTAATTTCTTGGTATATAGCTTTTCATAATAGTCTCTAATGATTCTGTTTCTGTTGCCTCAATTGTTAGGACCCTTTTTTCATTTCTGATTTTACTTATTTGGGTTTTCTCTGTTTTTTTCTCAGCCTACTTAAAAGTTTGTCAATCTTTTATGTTTTTAAAAATCCATCTTGTTTGTTGATCTTCTCTCTCTTTTTAGTCTCAATGTCATTTACTTCTGCTTTGGTCTTTTTTTAAAATTAATTTAAGTTCTGGGATATATGTGCAGGATGTGCAGGTAGTTACATAGGTAAACTATTATTTCTTTTATTCTACTAATTTTGCATTTGGTTTGTTCCTGCATTGATAGTTCCTTGAGATGCATCATTAGGTTTTTTATCTGAAATCTTTCTACTTTTTTTGATATAGGTGTTTATTGCTGTAATCGTCCATTTTAGTACTGCTCTTGCTGTATCTCATAGGTTTTGTTATGTTGTGGTTCTATTTTAATTTAATAAATTTTATATTTTTTTCTTCTCAATTTCTTCACTGATGCAGTCATTCAGGAGCATGTTTTTAAATTTCTATGTATTTACACAATTTCAAAAATTCTTCTTGTTACTGCCTTCTAGTTTTATTTTATTGCAATCCTATAAGATAGTTGATTTGATTTCAATTCTTTTAAATTTGTTAAGACTTGTTTTGTGGTCTAATATGTGATCTATCTTAGAGAATTTTCAATGAGCTGATGAAAAGAATGTTTTCTGAAGGCATTGTATAAAATGTTCTCTAAACATTTGTTAGGTTTATTTTATCTGAAGCACAGTTTAAGTCTTGTGTTTATTTGTTGATTTTCTGCCCAGATGAGCTATTCAATGTTGAGTGTGGGGTGCTGAACTATTATTGTATTGGATCCACCTCTCCTTTCAGATCTAAAAATATTTGCTTTGTTGATCTGAGTGTTCTGGTATTGAGTGGATATATATTTACAATTATTTTTCTGCTTTCTGAATTGATCCCTTTTTCATTATATAATGACCTTCTTTTTCTTCTTTTTTTAAAATTTTTAAAGTCAATTTTATCTGATACAAGTCTAGCTACTCCTGCATACTTCTGGTAGTCATTTGCATGAAATATCTTTTTCCATACCTTCACTTTCAGTCTATATGTGTCTGTACAGATAAAGTGAGTTTTTGTAGGCAGGATATGTCATTTTTTTAATCCATTGGGTCAGTCTTTATCTTTTAAGTCAGTAATTTGTTCACGTTCAAGGTTATTATTGAAAGGTGAGGACTTCTACCATTTTGTTAATTGTTTTCTAAGTTTTTGTGTATACTTTGTTCTTTTTTTCCTCTATTACTGTTTATCATTGAGACTTGGTGGTTTTCTGTAGTAATAAGGCTTGATATTTTCTCTTTCTCCTTTGTGTGTCTTCTCTACCACTGAGTTTCATATTTTGGCATGTTTCCATAATAGTGATTTCTATCTTTTCACTTCCAGATGTAGGACTTACTTGAACATGTCTTGTAAGGCCAGTATAAGTGGTGATAAATTCCCTCAGTTTTTGTTTATCTGGAAAAAAAATTATTTCTCCCTCATTTGTGAAGGATAGCTTTGCTGGGTATTGTGTTCTTGACTGCATATTAATTTCTTTCAGCACTTTGAATATGTCATCCCATTCTCTCCTTGACTGTAAGATTTCTGTGGAGAAATCTGCTATTAATTTGATGGGAATTCCCTTATATGTAACTTGATACTTTTCCCCTGCTGTTTTAAAAATTCTTTTTGTCTTTTATTTTTGACAATTTGACTATAATGTGCCTTATGAAGGACATTTTGGGTGAAACTATTTGGAAATCTTTGAGCTCTATGAATCTTGATGTCCATATCTCTCTCCAGACTTGGAAAGTTTTCAGTTATTATTTCATGTAATAGGTTTTTCCATGCTTTTCCCTTCTCTTCTTCTGGAATTCCCATACCCAAATACTTATTTGCTTAATTGTGTCCCGTAAGTTTTACAAGATTTCTTTACTCTTTTTCATTCTTATTTCTTTTTTTTTTTCTCTTATTGGGTAATTTCAAATGACCTATCTTCAAGTTCAAAGATTATTTCATCTGCTTAATCAAGGCTGCTACTGAAGCTCTCCATTGTATTTTTTATTTCATTCATTGAGTTATTCAGCTGCAGGATTTCCTTTTGATTCCTTTCTTTTGATTTCTCTTTGTTAATTGCTTGCTCATATCATAACTTGTTTTCCTGATTTTGTTGAATTGTCAATATTTTCTTCTATTTCATTGAGTTTCCTTAAGATCATTATTTTGCTTTTCTTTTCTGGAAATGAATTGATTTTCTTTTCATTTGGGATCTGTTACTAAAGAATTATTATGTTCTTTTGGTGGCATCATATTCCCTTGCTTTTTCATATTTCTTGTATCCCTGCATTGATGTCTATGCATCTGGTGAGACAATCACCTCTTCCAAACTGTCTAAAGTGGCTTTCATAGAGAATGACTTTCACCTATATTTGCATTTTAGTGTGCTGATTGGTGACTCTGTTTCCAGACTTCTTTAGCTGCATTCAGCATCAGTAATAACTGTGTGCGCTTCAGTGGCCTAGTCAATTACCTTTTATTTCCTTTTCAATTTTTATTCATTATTGAATAATAACTATTCTCATAGTATGGGAGACTTCAAGAATGTCAATTAATAAAGCTGCTAAAATTGTGAGGTTTGCAAACATCATCTATGTTGGACTAACAGAGATGAACTGGAGTATTGGTTCTTTTGTAAATTTAAGTTATTAGCTACAGCCCTGCCTAGCCTAGGGTCCTAGAAGTTTGCCCTGCCTGCTTTCTGATTATAATCCGTTTCCAAACATGGGTGTATAGGGGAGTCATTTTTCAAGCATTAAATTGCTACTCTTCCCAGACCAAACTGAGGGTCGGGCTGCTATTTCTCATGGCCCAATAACGAGATGCAGATGAACTGGTGAGGAAAAGAGTTTTTATTTTTATAACCAGTTACAGGGAGAAGGCCTGGAAATTATCACCAGACTAACTCAAAATTACAAAGTTTTCCAGAGCTCATATACCTTCTACACTATATGTCTATATGTAACTGTGCATTCATCTAAAGACATAAGTGATTAACTTATTTTAATCTATAACTAAGGTCTGAGTCTTGAAGAGCTTCCTCTGGAGCCTCAGTAAATTTACTTAATCTAAATGGGTCCAGGTGCTGGGGTGATTACCCTTATTTTGTCTGCTGCTAAATCATGGAGGTTTAGGGAGTTCTTTCAGACTCCCACTAAACTTGTTTGTGGAGGCCTGGGGAGTTTCTTCAGATCCCCAATAAAACTTGTTTAATCCTAAATGGGCCCTGCCAAGAATTCCTTTGTTATCTTGTCATGCTTGGGCAAAACTCTTGGTGCGCTTTTATTAATATTCTAGCCTTTGTATAAGGACCCTGGCTCTTTCAGCTTTTAATATTTAGCTTAACAATTCAGTCAGTACTGAAACAGTTGTTATGGAGGCCTGCATTAGTGAGACCTGGCCTGCCACGCTACCATATTTTTTAACCCTTGCCTAGCTTCTCTCTACTATCCAGCTGACACCTAAATCCAGGATGCATGACTATTTAGATGTTAGCTTTAAGAAAACAAACAAAAAGGCCAGGCAAGGTAGTTCATGCCTGTAATCCCAGCACTTTTACAGGCCAAGGTGGGTGGATCACCTGAGGTCAGGAGTTCAAGACCAGCCTAGGCAACATGATAAAACCCCATCTCTACTAAAAATACAAAAATTAGCCAGGCATGGTGGCACACACCTGTAATCCCAGCTAGTTGAGGGGCTGAGGCATGAGAATTGCTTGAACTCAGTAGGTGGAGGCTGCAGTGGGCTGAGATCATGCCACGGCACTCTAGTGAGGGCAATACAGTGAGATTCCATCTCAAAAAAAAGAAAAAATCAAAATCCAAACAGGAATAAATATCAAAACAGGAATAAAATGGACGTAAACCTAACATTGTGCTTATTAACTACTTGAATATTGATAACGTACTGCTTCTCCAAGTAATAAGCATTATGGAAAACTTAATTATAGTTTCTTAAAATCATTTATCCTGTGGAAATTTCTATTAATTACTACAAGGCCTTAAAATAAACTCCAATAAACATGAACCCTTCTACTTATTTTAAATCTATCCCACCTACAAGAACAGGAGAACATATTGGTCACAATGCAAAGCCATGTTACATTGGAAAGACATTCTTTATAATGAGGCCTTGCACAAGGGTTGACAACAGTAAAACAGATAGACCTGGAGGAAGAAAGGCCTGAAAAGCCCACTAGTGCATTTGGGCTGGCATTTTGTTACAGGAAGTTCTGATCCAATTTTAAATCTTGTGATGCATTATAGTGAGGCAGCAAGAGTTCATTATCCCAAAAGTACCACAACCTGCAATCTACTAGGAGACATCCAGCTTACCAGCTGGTATTCAAAACAATACAGTTTAGTGTCCTACTGCTCAAAGTGTCATCCCTGGTCTGGTAGCATCAGCATCTCCTGGCAGCATGTTAGAAATGCAGGATTTCAAGCCTTTTGTAGATGTTATTTATTAGCTGGCCTATAAAACATATAATAATAATAATTCATAAAGATGCATTAAACTGAAAAATATTTAAAGACACACCTACACACAGGCACACACACACAAAAATAGAGCTTCCTAATGGTAATTGCATAAGGTTTTATCCAATAAATGATAACCAATTTTTTTCAAAATGAGAAAATAGGATTTCAGTTACCCATTTCTGTGTAACAAAATTCAATGGCTTAAAACAATTATTTAACATGATATAATCTCTGCAGGTTAAAATTATGAAAAGAGTTTGGCTAGGTGGTTCTGGATGCAGTCAAATAGTGTCCAGGACTGAAATCATCTGCAGTCTCACTCACTCACATGTCTGAACGGGGCACCTGCAGCCTCTCTCTCTATCCGTGTGTGGTCTCTCTATATGGGCTTTCCAGCATGGAGTCTTCAGGGTAGCCAGACTTCTAATATGGCAGGGAAGGTGGGCATCTAATTCTATCAGAAACAAAAGTGATATTGTTGGCCTTTCTCATTTCTTTTATTTATTGAATTGTTTAGGACCTGGGCAGGAAATAGAGCTGCTATTGGCTAGGGTGACTTGTAGTCTCAACATTTCAAAATAACTTTCCTTTCATTCCTGAAGAGTCTTCCAGCTTGGGGCCCTGCCTTACTTGGTGCCCTACTGCACCCATATCCTTATCTCCCCAGCCCCTGCAGGGCTTCAGTCTGCCTACTTTACTCCACCCTCCACTCCCCTATAGGTCCCTAAAGCAACCCTGTGGCTTCTGTCATGCCCTTGGCTATCTGCTCATCTCCTGCTAACACTCAAAATCCTGAGTATTAGGCAGGGCTAGGAGATTGATTCCTTGCCTAGAACTCCAAAAGGGGAAGTCTGTATGGATGTGGAGCAGTCTATAAAGTTTCCCGGGGGATGTGAGGTAAAAGAGTACAAGGAGTGGCTGTAACTTAACTATAATGGGGAGAGAAGAGCATACACCTCCTGATTCCCACCCACCCATAGTTCCAAAGGAAAGATATATTTTTTCTCTATCTACTTGAAAGAAGACAAAATTGTCAGATTAAATGACATCAAGTATATAATAGTGAAATGTCACAATTCTCTCTGTGCTATAACAGTATCAATAACTAGCGAAGCCATATGACCAACCACCATCATATGAAGCCATCAGTGCTTTTCAAACAATGTTTTTATGCTATGCTTAAGGCCAAAGAGCAGGAACCTCAGGGAGAGAGAGAAGAAGTGAAATTTATACAGGCCTATGATGATACTACAGCCAACCTCAAACTAAAAACACCCAGGTGATACTCTGCCTGACATATACCAGTCTTCTCAGATTTGTGAGAGAAGGAGAGGACTGTGAGACCCTTGACTACTTGACTTGGGAGCAGAGGAAGACATCTCTAGTTTCCACAGCATCAGCAACAATTTCCTGAGGAGTGGTGAGCCTGGCTACAGAGAATGGGAGCCACATAACCTCATGCAGGTGTGACAGCACACAATAATCTGCCTAAAGTGGACGTATGCAGCAACCTGTTCTCCTGGCCACACAAACACTTGAGGGTACTGCTAATGCCGAGCTGTCATTCAAGGCAATAGACACAGTAGCAGGGACAGAGACCACAAAATGAGTTCCCTAGATGATGGCAGGGCAGGCAGCCTGAAGCATACCTCAACCAACTAGACACAGGAGGAAAAAGTTGAATGACTCTATCAGGCCTTTTCTTCCAAAGGGAGAGAATTAGAAGGGTTACAGCTCAAAATAAATCCCATTTACAATTGTGAATATATTTAACCAAGTAACTAAAAGGACTGTAAACTGAAAACTATAAAATATTAATTTTTAAAAATTGAAGAAGACAAGAGGAAAGATATACTGTGTTCATGACAAAATCATGACCTTTACAGCAATGTGGGTGAAGTTGGAGGGCATTATCCTATGTGAATTAATGCAGAAACAGAAAACCAAATACCACATGTTCTCGCTTATAAATGGGAGTTAAACGTGAAAACAATAGACAATTGGGACTCCAAAAGGGTTAAGGGATGGGGATCAAGGGTTGAAAAACTACCTATTGGGTACTATATTCACTATTTGTGTGACAGGATACTAAGCCCAAACCTCAACATTATGCAACATATTTATGTAACAAACCTGCACCTGTACTCCCTGAATATAAGCAAGCAAACAAAAACAAAACCAATAAATGGTTTACTTTAAACAGTAAAAAAAAAATTCTGAGATACAAAAAAAAGAAAGATATACTCTGTTCATGGATTGGAAGAATTAATATTATTAAAATGTTCCTACTACCCAAAGTGATCTACAGAGTCAATGTAATCCCTATCAGAGTTCTAATTGCATTTTTCACTGAAATTTAAAAAAAATTTCTAAAATTCATATGAAACCACAAAAGACCCTGTATAGCTAAAACAATATTGAAAATCAAGAACAAAACTGGAGGCATCACACTTCCTGATTTCAAATTATATTACAAAGCTATAATGATCAAAACAGTGTGGCAATAGCATAAACATAGACCAATACAACAAAACAGAGCGCCCAGAAATAATCCCACCTATAGTAGCAAATTTTTGACAAAGGTACCAAGAACATCCAATAGGGCAAGGATAGTGTTTTCAATAAATAGTGGGACAACTGGATATCCATATGCAAAGAAATGAAATTAGATCTTTATGCTACACCATACACGAAAACCAATTCAAAATGGATTAAAGAAAAGTTTAAGACCTGAAACCATAAAACTCCTTGAAGAAAACATGAGAAAAACTCTTGACATTTGTCTTAGCAATGACTTTTTTGGATATGACACCAAAATCACAGGCAACAAAAGCAAAAATAAGTGGGACTGCATCCAACTAAAAAGTTTCTGCACAGCAAAGAAAACAACCAACAAAATGAAAAGACATATGGAATGAGAGAAATATTTGCACATCATATATCTGATAAGTAATTAACATCCAAAATATATTAGGAATTCATGCAACTCTATACCAATAAAACAACCCAGTTCAAAAATGGGCAAAGAACTTGAATAGACATATTCCCAAAGAAGACATACTAATGGCAAAAAGGTGTATGAAACAATGATTAACATCACTAATCATCAGAGAAATGCAAGTCAAAACCACAATAAGATATTACCTCACACCTTTTAAGTTGGCTATTATCAAAAAGTCAAAAGACAAGTGTTGGGAAGGATATGGAGAAAAAGGAGCCCTTCCACACTGTCGGTGGCAATGTAAATTGGTGTAGCCATTGCAGAAAACAGTATAAAGGTTTCTCAGAAAACTAAAAATAGAAATATCATAGGATCCAGCCATTCCACTATTGGGTATATGCCCAAAGGAAGTGAAATCAGTGTGTTGAAGAAATGTCTGTACTCCCATGTTCATTGCAGCATTATACACAATAATCAAGATATGGAATCAACCTAAGTGTCTGTTGACAGATGAATGGGTGGTGTATATACACACACACATATATATATGTATACACACACACATATATATACACACACATATATACACATATAAATATATATATTATATATTATATAATATATATTAATAAATATATATTATATATATTATATAAATATATATATTATATATATATTATATAAATATATATATTATATATATATTTATATAAATATATATATATAATGGAATATTATTCCACCTTAAAAAGAAGGAGATCTTGCCAACTGAGACAACATGGATGAATCTGAAGGCCATTATGCTGAGTGAAACAGCCACATGCAGAAAGACATATACTTCATGATCTCACTTACATGTGGTTAGGATGATGGTTATCAGAGACTAGGAGTGTGGGAAATGGAGAGATGTTGGTCTAAGGGTACAAACTTTTAGTTATAAGATGAATAAGTTCTAGAGATCTAATGTACAGCATGGTGACTATAGTTAATAGTAATGTATAATTGAAATTTGCTAAGAAAGTAGATCTTAAGTGTTATCAACATGAAAAGGGGGGGCAACTGTATGAGTTAATGGATATGTGAATTAGCTTGTGATGATGATTTCACAATGCACATGTATATTAAATTATCACATTGTATACCATAAATGTATACAATTTTAATTTTTCAATTATTCTTCAATAACACTGGAAAAAATAGAAGAATTTTATGCTATCAATTTTCTCCCATCCGTACCCATAGGTGGTCTTTTTGGAGAGAAAGAAGGAAGCCTGGGAACATTGTCATTTTCTATCTTCTGACATAAAATGCTTTCTTTTTCTCCAAGTATGTTGGTGGATCGAGCTGCCTTCACCTGGGTTCCTCCAGAAACCAGCCCTGAGACAAGATTCATGTGCAAATAGTTTACTTGGGAGGTGATACAGGAAAACCCTGGTAGGGGTGTAGAGAAGAGAGGCAAGGAAGAGAAGGAAGCCAATTAAGAGGGCATGATCATGCCAGTTTCCACCATAGGCAATTGGAGCTCCAGGAATTGGTGTAGACCACTCACCTCAGTGTTACTACTCAAGAGTTGAGTTAGGTGGGCATGTTTTCACCAACCCACATCAGTGACTGAGGAAAATAATTTTCCTTTTCTGGAGAGTAGTAATTTCCCTTTACTTCCAGCTTCCCTAGCAGTCAAAAATACTTCAGACAAAAAAAAAAAAAAAACCAAAGTTGCTAAAAGTTTGCAGTCGACCTAGGTGCATAGAAACGGTAACTTGTTGGCTAGGCTCAGTGGCTCACGCCTATAATCCCAGTACTTTGGGAGTCTGAGGTGTGTGGATCACCTGAGGTCAGGAGTTCAAGACCAGCCTGGCCAGCATGGTGAAACCCTGTCTCTACTAAAAATACAAAAATTAGCCAGGAATGGTGTTGGGCACCTGTAATCCCAGCTACTCTGCAGGCTGAGGCAGGAGAATTGCTTGAACCCGGGAGGCAGAGGTTGCAGTGAGCCGAGATCACACTATTGCATTCCAGCCTGGGCAACAAAGTGAGACTCCGTTTCAAAAAAAGAAAAAAGAAAAGAAAGAGAGTAACTTTACTACAAAAGTTGATTTCGGTCTTTTCAGGTGACTCACTCTTTCAAAAATGCAAAGGCCCATCTCCTAATTCTTATGTGAGGCTCACTAGTCAACTTGATCTTTCAGGTAAACTTACCTGCACTATTCCTTAGGCCTGGTCAGTCCCTCTACAGTCCTTTCCTACACCCATTGGACTTCCCAGGGAAATATCAATCAATGAAAACAAGATATGTCCACCAGGGAAAGAAATGATTTATGTCTTTTTTAATATCATAAAGGCATACCTATCTATTGTTTCAGTCTGACAAGTTGAGGAGAGAGAGGGATTAAAAACAAAAAACACAAATGAACAACAAACAACTCTAGCATCTTTGAAGGAGAAAAGAATTTCCAGTTTAGTGACGCAGCCTCAAAGACCTAAACACAAACATTACTGGTAGTATTTATCTGGAAATCATTGAAAGGATTTTGTTGTTGTTTTTGTCATATTTTTTCAAAGTACTCTGTAGATAAATCTTGAAAGGAAAGCACTCTCAGATGTCTAATTTACGACTTAAAAGAATAGAATTTTTATATAATTTTTCTGACAGTTACTTACAAAGTACATCAGTTAAAAAAAAAAAAACTCACTGTGTTTTGCTATAATAACCTAAATGCTGCTTCTGAAAGTACCCAGCAGCCCAGGAAACAGTTTGTACACTCAGAGATCGCAACTAACTTAAGAAGGAACATTGCTGTCCTCAGATAGGGGCTGGGTTCAATTGGGGAGACAGTAACACAACATAAAGCCAGGGTGTTTTCTTTTTTCTGACCCAAATATCGGGAAGTGAAAAAGTCTACAAAACAATGTTAACTCATCTGTTCCCCATAATTTGATTTGGAAAAATGATTAAATTGTTATTATTAACTCCAATAAAGCACACAGGGAGCCTCTGTGAAAAAACTATTACGAGACTCATTGAGCTCAAATTTCCTAGGACTTTTAAATTTTGAAGTTGCAAGCTTGATGTTTAACCAATTTAGTATTTCTCGCTTTATTTTTTACAGACTTTAAAGCTGAAAAATATACTGTCCTTAGGGATAGCAAGAGAAAGCACTTCCTTTCCCTCGGCTTACACCAAATTATCCCCTTCCCTGTATCAAGGCCTAGGCTGAGCTTCTGAGTTGTGTCACTTCCGTGCTTTGGAGTATTTTGTGTATATTTATCCACTTAGTCCACGCGACAATCCTGTTAAGTATGCGCTGCCATCAACTTCATTGTATAAATAAAGAAACCAGCAGAGTGAAGTAAAGGACTTTTTTCTGGTCTCATAGGTAGTAAGAGTAGAGCAGAAATTTGATTTCAGGCAGCCCTGTTCTATAGTTTGTGATCAGGAATCCTAGGAATTGTCTCCAGGAGGCGCAGTGGATTTGGGTTTCCTTTGTTTGGTTTGAAGGATTTGTTTGTTGTTTGACAACATTGATCTTTATGTCTCCTTACCCTTTCCAGAACTTCCTTACCATCATCTAAAGTCTCCTGGCCTCTTATCACAGGCCTGAACATTTTCTTTTCTTTTTTTTTTTTTAATTTTACTTTAAGTTCTGGGATACATGTGCAGAACATGTAGGTTTGTTACACAGGTATACATGTGTCATGGTGGTCTGCTGCACCCACCCACTCAACATCTAGGTTTTAAGCCCCACATGCATTAGATATTTGTCCTAATGCTCTCCCTCCCTTTGCCCCCCACCCCCTGACAGGCCCTGGTGTGTGATATTCCCCTCCCTGTGTCCATGTGTTCTCATTGTTCACCTCCCACTTATGAGTGAGAACATGCAGTGTTTGGTTTTCTGTTCCCTTGTTAGTTTGTCGAGAATGATGGTTTCCACCTTCATCCATGTCCCTGCAAAGGATATGAACTCATTCTTTTTTATGGCTGCATAGTATTCCATGGTGTATATGTGCCACATTTTCTTTTTCCAGTCTATCATTGATGGGCATTTGGGTTGGTTCCAAGTCTTTGCTATTGTGAATAGTGCTGCAATAAACATACATGTGCACGTGTCTTTATAGTAGAATGATTTACAATCCTTTGGGTATATACCCAGTAACGAGATTGCTGGGTCAAATGGTATTTCTGGTTGTAAATCCTTGAGGAACCACCAACCACACTGTCTTCCATAATAGTTGAATTAACTTACATTCCCACCAACAGTGTAAAAGCATTCCTATTTTTCCGCATCCTTTCCAGCATCTGTTGTTTCCTGACTTTTTAATGATCACCATTCTAACTGGTGTGAGATGGTATTTCATTGTGGTTTTGATTTGCATTTCTACAATGACCAGTGATGATGAGCTTTTTTCAAATGTTTGGCCATGTAAATGTCTTCTTTTGAGAAGTATCTATTCATATCCTTTGCCCACTTTTTGATGGTTTTTTTTTTCTTGTAAATTCGTTTAAGCTCCTTGTAGATTCTGGATATTAAATCTTTGTCAGATGGCTAGATTGCAAAATTTTCTTCCATTCTGTAGGTTGCCTGTTCACTCTGATGGTAGTTTCTTTTGCTGTGCAGAAGCTCTTTAGTTTATTAGATTCCACTTGTCAATTTTGGCTTTTGTTGCAATTGCTTTTGGTGTTTTAGTCATGAAGTCTTTGCCCACGCCTATGTCCTGAATGTTATTGGCTAGGTTTTCTTCTAGGATTTTTATGATTTTACGTTTTACATTGAAGTCTTTAATCCATCTTGAGTTAATTTTTGTATAAAGTGTAAGGAAGGGATTCAGTTTCAGTTTTCTGCATATGCCTAACCAGTTTTCCCAACACCATTTATTAAATAGGGAATCCTTTCCCCATTGCTTGTTTTGGCCTCAGAAATAACACCACACATCTACATCCATCTGATCTTCGACAAACCTGACCAAGGCCTGAACATTTTCTAACCAATGTTATTTAAATATTTACATCCCATGTTCCCCAGGACAGCCTTATTCTTTTTTGTAGCTCTCACAGAATTTAGTATTCTTGTTTATGCATAATAGGTTATATATATTTATATATGTATGTGGATTTGTGTATATATATATATGTACAGTTGTGTGTATGTATATATGTATATGTGTGTATATATACATACATTTAGTATATACCATGTCTTAATTCTAATTCTTCAATAACACAATGTTTTGACTCTACCACTCTCTATGAGAAAACCAAGCCATTTCTCATGCTCAAATTTGACAGTGCAACCACATAAATATGACAACACTCTTGACATACCACAGATTAGTAAACATTCTGACTTTCCCAAGGTCTCATGCTATTTATCAAACTCAATACAAAATTTAAGCATTTCACGTACATGTGTTTTCTAATATATCTGCCCCATTTTTGAAACACTTCAGCTGTTTCACATCACATGCTACATACAAGTAGGAAATCGTCGCAGTATGATTTTAAAAATATAATATGCAGGTATATTCTTGTAGTATTTCCATAGACTTCAAAAGAAAATGATGACAATTCACCAATTCCTTGCTGAAGACATGTGCAAAAGCACACGTGGCTTTCTTACCTGCACTAATCGTGGTACCTGGTTAGCAAGAGTAAACTCTTTATGACTAGTGAGAGAAGGAAGGGAAATTTCACAAATTCAAGAAAGAAATGTAAAGCAAAATAGTTAAGATGTAGGAATTGACCTAGTAAATAAAACATAAGATACTATTTCCAGAAAATTCTTTAAACTTAAAAATTATAACTTTTTGTAATTATAATTTTCTAAAAAAATTAATATAGCAATTTTTAGGCATTGCGCCTACACAATTCTCAGGACAACAAAGAAAGGCTAGTTCTCATATTCTTTGAAGAATATTTCCATGCATATTTAGACCCTTTTAGTCAAGAAATATCTCAGGTAACCCTTGTTTAGCAATGTTTCATTAGGTAGAGAACATTGCAGTATATTTTGGATATAATCCAAATCTACAGTGGGGTGATATAGGTGAGAAGCTTGATATAACTTGAAAAGACCTAGACTCAGATTCTAGTCCAGATTCTGCTAGGCATGAGCTCCTACATTCCTACTGTCCCTCTGGAGTAATGGCCATGATCACCAAGAAAGGGTTGAGCCTGAAGATTCTATAGTTCCTTCCTTTTCCAGGATTCTATCAAAAGCCTCTGATTTTGGCAGCTCAAATTCCAAATGTACCTTGAAAATTACAATTTATGTGTCTGACTCAAGTAGAATAATAAATAGTACAGTCATTACCACATGTATTTAATCAAAAAACTATTTACTCTTATTTTCCCGCTTATTGTACTAGCCAGCTACTTCCTTAAATTGACTAAAACCAATCTGTTATTTAGAAAGTCATATAGACATAGATTAGATGAGGTGAAGATGGTTTTAGTAAGTTAATGTCTAAATAGGGATCAACAATACTCTTTTTCCTCCTAACATTGCTGGCTTAGTAACATGACTTTATTTTGACTACATTATAAAGCAAGGAATATGATAATTTGATTAAATTGTTATTATAAGCTAGTTTGGAATATTAGTATTGTATAATATGTGTTCAATAAAGGAAATTAGTATACTTGAAAACAATTGTCTCTATTCTAGAGCTAATAATAGAATAGATTTAACTTATTATTTTAAGCACCTCCTAAATTGTTAATAAGATTTGCTGATGACACCCTGAACAGAAGCAGTCAGTCCCCCAAGGCTAATTTTAAACATCTGCTTTCATCATTAAAGTTATTGTTTATTTCATCTTAAAATGGGAGTAATACAGCACTCAGCTATTCCAGAAATAGATCTATCACTCCTAAATAATTACTAGTCAGAGCATTATATTACAGATAAAGAAAATTTATACTCAATAATTCAATAAATAGACATATCCCAGTTTCAAGATAAACCACAAAAATAGACCCTGCCATAGACTAAATTCTGCCTGTTCTCCCTGACCCCTCACCACCACAAAATTCATAGATTGAAGCCCTGACTTCCAGTGTGACTTCATTTGGACCGAGGACAATTACTGAAGTAATTAGAGGTAAATGAGGTCATAGGGTGAAGCCCTAATCAGACAGGCTTTGTGTCCTTGTAAGAAGAGAAAGCGAGACCAGAGTTTTCTCCTTCTCTTTCCACTTCAACAGAACAAGGAATGACCACATGAGAACACAGTGAGAAGACAGCTATCTGCAAGCCAGGAAGAGAGCCCTCACCTGCAACTGAATTGGCCGGCCCCTTGATCTTAGACTTCAGCCTCTGGAACTGTAAGAAATACATTTTGTTCTTTAAAGCATACAGCCTGTGCTATTTTGTTTTGGCAGCCATGTGGGCTAATACAAATGGAAATCAATACAAAGGAAATCAATATTAAGATAGGAAAATGGAAGAAGAATAATCCATTAAGTAAAAGAGGAGTGTACTTTTTAGTGTCTTCTTGCAGTTATTATTTGCTTGTTTCTTTGTTTTGCAGAAGTGGAGATTTCCACTATGGTCCATGAATAAAGAAAATATTCAAAAAAAAGGGCAAGAAGCTAGTGTGTAAATGCCATATAATTCTTTACAAGCTCTTTCTATGCTCTTCAGGAACCAAACCTGAGCCTCCAACTCCCCATTTAGCAGATAGGCTTATGCCTCTTCTATCAGCCATGACACCTGTCCATGTTTTCTTGACCCGGCTAGAATTACTATCTAGTTCTCACTGACTCCCCTGAAGGAACCTGTTGAAGGGGTTAAGAATACTATAAATTTACAGATCTCATGAGATTGGCCAAGATAGCAAAACTAAGTCCATGTGAACACTGCTGTTGTTTGAGGTCTGATGTCAGATTCATTTTTATCTTCCCAAGTGGGAGTACAATAAAAATGTTCTATTAAAAAATAGTGTTTGTTTCTTTTCATAAGAGACATAGCAGACAAAATAGCTGGGTGAGAGCTGAAAGAGTCATTGTAGAATAACAGAGATAGATTAAGTAAGAAACATATGCTGTGAATAACATTTCTGGAACACAAACTATGCAATGTGTACTCTGGGGAACTCAAAGAGGTAGAATCTGACCCCTGCATATGGTGTAAGGTGATCCCATGAAAAAACGCAGCACAAAATCAATCAACTCATATTTACTCAACCCTAACTATACTCAACCCTAACTATGGTGTATGTTCAATAGCATACACCATATGCTATTCTAGATTCTAGATTTTCTAGATTCATGGAACTAATAATCCAATTGGAGAGAGTCTGCACACACATACAAATAGATGATTTGCAAGAGAAAATAACAATAATTTACTAGAAAGTTGTTTAACTTACATGAAGACAATAATTCTTAACCTCACAGCATTTTGGGTCATCAGGAATGAAGATTAAATGAAAAGCAAAATACTTAAGGGCTCCAGATAAACTTGAGTTTGATTCCCTGCTTTTCTGCTTATGAGATAATCTTAGGCAGCTGATTTACCTTTTATTAAGCCTCAGCATCTTCATCTGTAAGAAGAGGTAATAGTAGCTTCACATGATTGTTGAGAAGATTAAAAAAGATGATTTGTATAAAAGTATTTAACACAGAACCTGACATGTAGTAAGTATTTAATAAATATTAGTTAATCCATTATATGCATTTAAATACCCAGCACAGGAAATGGTTTGTATAATTGTAACAAATAGTATTTTTCATTCTTTTTTCTCTAAGTGTCAGAATAAGAAGATCATTAACAAGAAATAAAATGTACAACAAATACGTAATTAGAAATAAATGAACAAAAAAAAGTGAAGGAATGGGACTGTAGGCTTATCTAATCTGAACTACAAACAGACATAACCAAAGGCAAAAAGTATTAGAGCATTACTGCCCAAAGGGTGTGGCTTGGAGCCCTGCAGGGTCTATGTAATCAAATCCATTAGGAAATCCTTTGGGCAGAAACTTTAGAATAGCTCTTGCTACCACCACTGTTATTGCCAGGTCCAGGGTACATCATCTGGTAGCTGGGTTACTGAAGTCGTCTCTTGACTATTTTCAGCCTCTCCCCTTCCCACTTTGTGCTCTATTCTTACATAGGTAGAGTGATTCTTTTAAACTGTGAGATTGCCTTAGTCTGTTCAGGCTGCTACAAAAAAAAATCTTAAACTGGGTGCATTTATAAATAATCAAAACAATAGAAATTTTGAAGGCTGGGAAGTCTAAGATTAAGGATCCAACAGATTGGGTGTCTGGTGAGGGCTTGTTCCTCACCAATGGCACCTTCTCTGTGTCCTCACACGGCAGAAGGAGAAGGCAGCCCCCTTCAATTTCTTTTATAAGGATACTAATTCTACTCATAAGGCTGGAGCCCGTCTTAAAAGACTCCACATCTTAATACCAGCAAAATGGGGATTCAATTACAACATGAATTTTGGAGGCACACATTCAGATGACAACACAAATCATGCCATTCTCCTGATTAAAACCCGACCATAGCTTCCAATTTCACTTACAGTAAGAGCCCCTATCCTTACTATGTCCTACCAGACACTCATGATCAGCTCCCTGCATCTTGCGCCTCTTCTAGTTGCTGACCTTATCTTTCATCAGTCTCCCCCAGCTCCCTCTGCTCCAGCCGCAGAGCATCCTGGCTGTTTGTTGAACGTGCCAAATAGCTCTTTGCCTTAAGATCTTTGTACGGGTTGTTCCCTCTACTTGGATCTTTCGTCCCCCAGGTAACTCCCTTATCTTCTTCAAGTTTTGCTCAAAACTCAACTTCTCAATGATGATTACCTTATTTTATTTATTTATTTTGAGATGGAGTCTCACTGTGTCACTCAGGCTGGAGTGCAGTGGCGTGATCTCGGCTAACTGCAACCTCAGCCTCCTGGGTTCAAGTGATTCTCATGCCTAGGCCTCCCGAGTAGCTGGGACTACAGCTGCGTGCCACCATACCTGGCTCATTTTTTGTATTTTTAGTAGAAACAGGGTTTCACCATGTTAGCCAGGATGGTCTCGATCTCCTGACTTCGTGATCCACCCGCCTCAGCCTCCCAAAAGTGCTGGGATTACAGGCGTGAGCCACCATGCCTGGTCAATTACCTTATTTTAAACTGTCACCTACCTCCTATAACCACCCCCTCCAGCACTACTGATTTACTTGTCCTGTTCTCCTTTTTCTGCTCATAGCACTTAGCACCTAGTTAACTTACTTATTTATTATGGTTATGGTTTATTTTGTTTTCCCCCAGTAGAATATAACCTTCTACAATCACAAAGATTTGTGTCTGTTTTGTTAATGGTATTGTTCATAGGACTAAAAAAGTGTCTGGCAAATAGTAAGTATTCAAATATTGCTGAATTTATAATCTAATATACTATGAAAATAATATACTATTAATAATCCTAATATACTAAAAATTACTTCTAAGTCTAATCTTCTAAAATAGTACTAATCTAATATAGACAGGTAAGCATTTGAAGTGTCACAGGGTTCCATGGAAGACATACATCCCTTTGAGTTTGTTGACTGAGCATCATTGCCAGAGGTAGGCTTCTCGTGGGCGTGGTTGGGACAGGCATAGGTATTGCTAGACATGAAAGCAATAAAAGGGAAAGAATCTCACTGGCCTTCACTATGGAGATGACCAGCAAACCCATTTGGGGATGCAGTGGTTATAGCTTAATAATGAAACTGAGGCTGTGAATTGGACTTTTAAGTGGATGACTTAAATCAGGATCATCTAGCAAGTCTTTCAAAAATAAATCCATTGGCCTGATAAATTAGGTGATGGATCATTAATCTCTGGAAGTAAAATTTCCAGAAACTGAGGGATGAATACACAGAGAAATACTGCATTTGTCATGCTTCCCAAAAAGCAGAGTGATAAAGTCAACATATTCATCATCATGTGTGTCTTTAGAGGAAGACCTTGGCTCTGACCCTGGGTGCTGTCATGCCTCTGTTACTAGATGAATTTCTTTCCTTCTGTGCCTCCCCCAAGGCCCCCAATCTGTATGGCATGGACATGCAGTCCTTTCATATGGAAGCAACAAAATTTCTCCCATTTCTTCCCCAGTTACATTGTTTATCATTTTCAACTTATACCTAAAGTGTGGAATATATATTTTCCTCTTACCAAGACAAGGTTCTGTTCTCAACAATTTGTTTCAATGGTCCACAGGGGAGAATAGGTGTTTCCTCACATAACCAGATGTGAAATGTGGATTTTTCTTTCAGTAATTTACTGACATATATTTTCTCTCTCTCCTCTTTGCTTTGCTTTTATGTCTTTTAAACCTCTTATGGTGACACAAAATTTTGTGAGCAAAATAAAATGTCTAGAACTTTGCAATGAAACTTACTTGAGGATAAACTTTTCCTAAACTTCAATATATATTTTCATTTCAATAAGAAAACAGTGAATTCCCTTTAGTTTTCTTCATTTAGAGAAATGAAGAAATTTTTATTTAAATACAGGTAAGTTCTACATTTTTTACTATATGCTGTAGAAAGTACTACATGAATGCAAATTGGAGAGGGCTATTTTCTTAATAGTAGAAATCATGTCTAAGAAAAAAAGCTTAAAAGAAACTTCCAAATTCCAAACAATAACAAAGCATATATTAATAAATTTTCTGTTAAAAGTTTTATGTTAATGTAAGGGGTACCTTATTGAAAGGATTCTCTATTAGTTTTAGTTGTTAATGACTATGAGCATTATCACCTTATTTTGTTATTTCAGAATGATGTTGCCGCATGTTCCCTTATATTAACAAAAATCTCTGGCCTTTTTTCAGAGTCAGGGTCAAGGTTTGAAAGGAAAAGTGTTACTGCCTCCTCCTTCAAGCAAAAACCATCTTTATAAGGACCTAAAGAGTCTCAAAACCATCTCAAAATTTTTTCAAGTGACGGGATATAAATAATAAATAAACACTGTAATCAAAAACATCAGGCAAGGTGGCCTAGCTCTCTAATGGAACACCAGGCTCTGCCCTGAGAGCTAGTGACAAGGAAGAGCCAAGAAGGCATTGATGGTACCTCTCTACATCATTCAGGCTGGGCTGTGTGCCATGCTTCCATAGTGTCTTGAAATGATATCAACCTCTATAGGACATGGCTAAGTCACACAAGGACACATAGTTTTAGTTGCTAATAGACACAGAGCTTCACATGGTGTCAGGGAGCCCTACATATGACTCCAGCTGAAAATATGTTCTGGTTCATTGGTTTTTATCACTGAGCTCTGAGATATAGACAGGCATGCCAAGAGGAATGAACTTTCCATAACTTAAAAAATAAGTTTTTGTCTCTTGCCTTGTTAAAGTGTATGCTCAGTAGCAATATTCTAAGACCCACAGGTGTTAGAACCACCGAATCTTGAATTTGTTGAGATATTATTGTGCTCTATAGATTTTTTTAACTTCTAACAATCTCTGAAAAGGTCTTCTTTTACTGACTCCAGAGTCAAGGAAAATGAAGCATTTTTTCCAGATTTGGTCTAGGAACTTCTTTTAATAAGAGGTGAAGTCAGTGAGGTTTCAATTTGACTTTCAGAGTAATTCAGGTTATTTTTAAAGAGCACATATTTTATTGCCAGGTAGGGATTTGCACATTTGCCGTTAGGCATAGGATGAAAGAAAATGAGAATCAGTCCTGTTATCTCACTCTGGTATCTCCCAGAATGCTTGCTTTCATGAGTTAGAGTTATTCACTGTTCCCTATTAGTAGTATACAGCAGAGAAACAAAGTCACCGTACTATTCAGTTCATCATTGATACAAACTTGGCTTTAGTTACAGAGAAAAAGATTCCCACTTAGGTATATGAAGGGACTGTGTCAGTCTCCTAAGAGACAACATCGTTAAGCACAGTTTGAGGAAAACCTCCACCGTGGCACTTAGGATCTACAAGTCCTTAGAAGTGTTGCTATGCCAAGTTCAAGTCCATAAAACTCACATCATTTTCCACCTGTTTGAGTCCATTCACCTTTAGTTTTCAGCCATGCCCAAAGGCCTCAGGAAAAAGTATTTTTAACTCCACTTACACCAAGAGACTGATCTAGCTGGCTGGCATCCATTCCTAGAACTCTTTCTGCCAACACGATTTGTCTGAAAGGAAATCCTCTAACGCTGCCTTGCTTTATCATGTAATTATGTTCTGTTCATGCGTGACCCTCCTCAGGGAGTCTGGGGGCCTGTTAAATGTGAAGTCAGACTCAGTTTATGTTGCTGGTCTTCCCTCTCCTTCCCTTCACCCCTCCCACAGTGCTCTACCTTGTATACATTTTGAGTAAATTGCTTTACCGAATAGGACTATCATCCTTTATAGGAAAAAAAATGCCTTAAGACGAATTGGTTCTGTGACTCTTTGTAAGTTTATATTTTAGCCCCATAGGGAAGTTTTTCAAAAAAAAGATCCAACTGTAATAAACATTTCTCCCAAGGAGTGATTAAAAACCAAATCTGAATGGACAATACTGTCTTATTAATGGACTGTGGAAAGTACAGTAGTGACACTTGTGAAATTAGCAGATTCAGGAATAATGTATTGTTTTAGAATTGTGCTAATTCATTTCCCACTTCTAATCATTTAGTGTGAAAAAGGGTTAATGAAATGTTTAATAAATAAAGATTAATTTTAAAAGAGCTTTGCTGGCTCAATTCTATGTAAAAAGAGCATGTAAGAAAAGGGAATAATACAATATTTTATGAGATACCCTCTGAGACTCTTTTTTGTCAAAGAAACAATTTGTAAATTACCCTCACATTATAACTCTTTGTCTTCTTAGTCTGACATGTGGGTGCCAAGCTTAGTGATTTGTAGCATGGAAAGGCAAGTGTTGTAGCTGGATAGTCACAATCACACGAAGGTTCTGCTGGTTTGGAAGGCGAACGTTTCATATTCTTGTCCCACAATTAAGCCAATGTTCTGCCCCAGGGACAAGTATATTTCCTCAATTATCAGAAGGAGCAAGAGAGTATGTCCATCCCATCCCATGTTCTTTTTTTTTTTTTTTTTTTTTTTTTGAGACGGAGTCTCACTCTGTTGTCCAGGCTGGAGTGCAGTGGCGCAATCTCGGCTCACTGCAACCTCTGCCTCCTGGGTTCAAGCAATTCTCTTGCCTCAGCCTCCTGAGTAGCTGAGACTACAGGCTCATGCCACCATACCCAGCTAATTTTTTGTATTTTAGTAGAGACAGGGTTTCACTGTTGTTGCCCAGGCTGGTCTCGAACTCCTGAGCTCAGGCAATCTGCCCGCCTTGGCCTCCCAAAGTGCTAGGATTACAGGCATGAGCCACCTTGCCCGGCCGTCCCATGTTCTTGAGAGGTCCTGGCTCGAGCCAATAAGGCTATTCTTTGTCTGCAAGGATGGAGATCAATTTCAGTCTGCTATCACACAGACTCTGGCAGCCAGAGACCAACAGGATCTCATAACAGTAAACCTGCTGCTGTCCAGGACAGATCCCCAAGTTGTTAACAGCCTCTCAGGCTTAAAAAAGTAAGTCCACATAGAACAATTGTATTCTCACAGTCAGCCTTGTGATCTTTGTAAGTTTATACTTACTCTCACAGTCAGCCTTGTGATCTTTGTAAGTTTATACTTACAAAGTATAAATTTGTTATACTTTGGTTCTTCACATCGTCGATAAACCTTTAAAACTAGAATCCTGAGAAATGTTCCGTCCCTTCCCACACACACACATCAGCCTCTTCTGCTACCTACCCATACACGCTGATCAGTATTTTCTTTTATCTTAGGAAGTAACAGAATGAAAAATACAGTCTTGATGTTATCTTTTGAAGCAGATCTTCACTTTATGAAGAAAATTATTAAAATGTGTTGATACTCTCTTGAGGTATATTGCTCCAGGGGTCTTGGGATTTTGTTGGTATAATTATATGCAGCAAGTACAGTATCCAAAGTTCCCAGTTAGTGTAAAATTTCTACCAAAATCATTGATAATAAATTCTCTCATATGAAACTCCTGCTACAGACGTAGAACTCTTCACCAACTGGAATAATGTACACTGATCCTTGGATGAAGCATAACACCATGTCATGCCATATTATATGAACTAGCATCCCTTGAGTACATTATATGTGCTAGATACTGTGCCAGAGGATTTTGCATGTTGTTTTATTTCATTCTTCCAACAGTCCTTGGACTTATGTATTACTCCAGTTTTTGCCAATGAAAAATGGAGACCCCAAAAGACTATACAAGTAATTAATAATTCAAACTCAGGAACCCAACTTCAGAACTTTTTTTCGTAATGTCAAGATGCTTCTCACTTATTTATTTAGCTCCTCAACATCTATAACAAAATACCAGCAATTTCAAAGTTAAGAGATCGTTCAAAAAGGACCAGGCTCTCTAGAGCAAAATGAGAATGTATTTGCTTCATCAGTTTAAAACCCAGGATGCCCTTTTGTTTGGAGCCAAAGTTAAATTGGAGTGTGTTCAACTTATATGCTTAAAATATAAAAACAGTGTTGGCCTATAGTAATTTTTTAAGAGTAAATTAATAAACTACTCTTATATAAAACTAAAGGGAAATGTCTTATTTATTTCCTGCCTTCATTTCAATCCTGTTTCCCATGGCTCACATAGAGGTCAGCAGAAAAAGCATTTTCTTATGTCCCTGCACACACATCTAGCTCACGGGAGGACTACAGAATCCACTAAGACAGAAACCCAAGGTTGCTAAGAGAAGCTAAAAGGAAAAATTTGTGCTTCCATTGTTTTTGCCTAAAGCCCCAATCATTCTGCCTCTGAAGAGCAGGGGTTACTTATTAAGTCATTTGCTTTATATGTTAGTTTTTAATCTTTCACTAGTAAGACCACTGGACAAAGTTCATCAAGATTTATTGCCATGTCCAAAAGTTTAGTCAACTGGTTGTATGATGTTAGAGCCATGCAGAGTAGTCTGTTTCCACAGATAAAGATAATAAAAATTTATAACTCTGCATGTCTTTTAGCAAAAGGAAATTGAATTGCATCCTCATGTCAAATGAAAGCACTCCTGTGTAATTCAATAAAGTAATATGACAGTTAATTATTTTGTTATAACTCATTGTTTAAGTATCTTCTCTGATTTATTTTACTGAAACCAACCAGTGTGTCTTTCCTACAGACTGAGATTTCTGGTATTCTTGACTTCCCCATCTCCTCTGAAAAGCACCCTTCAGCTATCAGCACGGGAGCCATGGAAATGAGCATGTGGATTCTAAGAAGCCTTCAATATATGCTCAAAGGAAACTCAAACAGAAAAAAACAGCCTCAATGAACAAAAAAAAATATGAAGCTTTTGGAGAAGAATGCTCTTTCTCTACTTCTGAGATGCAGTGCAGCACAAGGAATTTTATTTATATCAGTGATTCTCAAACTTTGGAAGGTGTCATAATCCCTTGGGGAGCTCATTTGTAATTTAGATACCTGCTCCTCACATCCTTGGATGTTCTGATTCAGTAGGTTTGGATAAAACCTGTGGTCTCACTCCCTGTTTCCAGGATTCTCTATGCCCTTCTCAGCTTTACTTTCCTTCACAGTACCTGTCACTTTCTAAGATATTAGACATATAAATTATCTAATGTGTATGTTGTCTCTGTCAGTATCCTCCTATCTGTTTTGTTCACGAGAATGGTGTCTGGTACACAGTGATGTTTGCAGGGAAGAAAGGAAAGCAGACAGGGTGATGGGCAATGTGATCTTCTCAAAGCCCTTATAGTCTAGTGTTAGAACCAGATGGCAATCCCAAGACGATAATGTCTATTTAAATCCATAATAAACAGTAGGCCAGGAGTGGCACAGGCTATTGATGATCCTTTTGAGGACCAGCATACATGCAACCCATTCACCTTATTCTTACCTCCTTGCCTACTTCTCTATCTTGCCGTATTACTCAGTCAAACTACACCCAGTCTCAGGAAAACCAGGAAAAGTGATGGAAACTTTGTCAACGACTGAGTTAGGGGTTAATTTGTCACTTCTCATTTAAACATGAAGGAAGGAGATGTGAAAGAAGAAAATAAGAGATAGACAAGTGAAATAATTCTCTAGATCAATCCTGGAGATAATTGTGTAGAACTTTGCCAAGTATCTGCCTAGTTACAAGTGCTAATCACTTTCACATAAAAAGACTTAATAAACTCTGCACATGATTTTGGATCCATAAATTCTAAATCTGAACTGTCTTAGATCTCTTCTTTCTAAAAAGCTTGATATACAGACCTGTATTACATTTAAATAACATTATGAGAAATTTGGAAAGACTGAGACATTGATGAGCTGGGAACTTGGCTCAGACTCCTATGAGACTTATGATCTAAAACTCACTTCATCAGGCTAATTAAAGGGAGCCTGAAAAAAAAAAAAAGCAAAATAGGACTAAATTAAGCTGTGTTATTTAACCATCTCTTGTTTAAAAGAAATGTAATAAGAAGAATGAAAATTGTGTAATAGATATTTTTGTTATCGTCTTTTTGTAGGCAACTTGTTTTTATTGAACAGATAGGCTCTATCGATTTTGATCATAAAATAAATTTCTATGAAGGAAATACTATTTTCCCCCACTGACATCTATTATAAATTGGAGAAATATTCCCAGAGAAAAATAATAGTACAGTGGTAAGTGAAAATAGCATCTCCTTTCAAAAAAATATAACTAAAGAAGTGCTTGCTTACAACTACCTTTCTCCAAGATCATAATGTTACAGCCTAAGAGGAAGGGTTTCCTAATGTGTTTCCACCATCTACTGCACAAGTAAAAATTAATTTGGAGCAATAAGTTATTTTTTAAAGCTATTCTCTGGATGAGCTAATCCTGCCATTGATTCATTCAGTAAATATTTTTATAATATCTAACACCACCATGTACTGGAGGAAATTAAATAAATTAGGTTCCTGACAGTCTCTATATAGCAAGTGCACAGTGGAATGTCTAATAAACAATATTTACTAAACATACAATATAAATTTAGTATTATTCTAAGACTGTAGGGTTGGTGGAAGAAGTATGGGAAAATAAAAGATGATTGAATCCTTAGATTATGAAATTAACAAACTTGAATATCATGCTGTATTTTTAGAGGCATCATGTGCAGATTGAAGAATCCCATGAAGTACTTAGCAAAATGAATGAAAAGTAAAGAGTATAATATAAAATTAAAAAAGTAAATTTAATTATCCATATATGTTATAGTAATAAATAAATGGTATAGAAATCACCTATTATAACACAAAGACTCTAAGAATGGAAATAGAGTAAAATATAAATAAATGTAGCATATGAGACATTTACAACCAAGTGATTTGTAAAGACCTTTTAGACCATTTAAAAATATGGTGAGTGAAATTAAAAAAATAATAATAATTAATAACATAGTTGGAAGATAAAGTCCAGGAACTCTTCCATGGTAAAACTAGAGGAAAATGAAAATGCTCAATAAATGCCCAGCTCATTGAATTATAATACACACACACACAAACACACAGGAATATTATTTTTAAATGTTATAATATCAGGAAAAAGCAGAAAATCCACAAAGTTTCCAGAGACTAAAAAAAGGTCAAATACAAACGTACTGGACCACAGATATCCCAATAGCAACATGGGCTACTAGAATACAAAGAAATGCCTTCAAAATTCCAAGAGAAAATAATTTCAATTTCAATTTCTAGAATCAAATGTGGTAGAATGAAGTATTTTGATGTGTCATAAAATCTATCTACTATATACCCTTTCTTAGAAAGCTACTGGTAGGTGTAATACAATAAAAAATGGCTTAAACTAAGAAAGAGGAAGACATGTTTTCCCAACAATAGCTCCAACCACAAAGCCTAACTATGTCCTAGGATGACACCTATGCAGCAAGCCTAGAGAGAAATCAGTAGCAGTTGGAGAAGGGTGGAAGACTTCAGGAGAGAGGACTTCAAGAATTGTTAAAATAGATGATGTGATAAAACATTTTAAATAACTAAGTATATATGGAGAACAATACGAGAATCAACAACAGTGATAATGGCTAATATACAGTGAACTACATTTTATGGGGATAAAGAGAATTATGCAACTAAAAACATTAAACAAGTACTCAATTATTAAATTTAGGGAAAAATGCTTTATAAAAAGGGAAAAAATCGGCATACTATTGTATCTATAGTTACCCAGATACATATAGTAATAATAAGATAAGCAATGATAGATTTAACTAAAAATGCTGATGTCACTGACTTAGGAAGAGTGTATGGAGAAAATAATGGAATTTGAAAAAGCAATGTTTTCATCTATCATAATAGAAAGTTAATATATAATGTCCATAACAGGTAATTCAGATAAAAGCAATGTAGGAATATTCTTTCTAAATGCTAAAACAACTACCGGAAGAAGTTAAGAGTTAAAGGGGTTGCCACACAGAGTATGACCGTGTATCAGACTAGATTTTTTAAAATTATAAAGCCTCCAGAGATAATTTACTTTTTAAAATTATCAAATGTACTTGGTTTATTTAAAATGTTTAGTAAAGTAAAAGATATGCATTACAAAATAAAGAACAAAGTGGTACTTTCAAAGATCTCCATTACTTAAAACACTCATTCCAGCCATTTTTACTCCATGACATATACCAAAGTGTGTTAGTGCTAATTCCCACGGTGTAAATATTCCCACTGCAGTTGATTTCAAGCTGTTAACATAATATCACTGAATGTGGAGTTGAGAAGAGATGCAAAGTAACACACTATTACGTAGTATCTGCATCATACAGACAGAGTAAATGTAAATAACCTTAAGAGCACAGACAACACTAAAATGTAGTAAAATAATTAGGAACTGATGAGTTTTGAGTATCTATTAACTTTATTTTTAATATAATTTATTTAATTTTAAGTTTATAAAAGTTGATTTTTTAATGGTTGTATGGAAAGTATGTAAAATGCTTAGAAATTTAACAATTATTACTCACAAGCCTGTATGAGCCAGCTTCAGCACATAGCTGACAGCTAACTTTAACATGCCCATTATACACCTATGGAGTGGGATGGATATTAGATGGATAGGATGGATGGGTGGGTGGATGGATGGGTGGATGGATGGGTGGATGGATGGATGGATGGATGATGGGTCAAAATGTAACTAACAGAAATGATTAACTATCCAACAGACCATTCTCAGGGATGAATTTCCTCTTCTGTGATTAATACTTCAAAATTAAAAACCATGTACCCACAATGACAGTCGCTCTGTGTAGTGGCTTTAGTCAAGTGTTGCTAGTAATTCTTTTATAAAAAGCACCACTGGTTATTTTATGACAGTTTTGGCCACATTCACATAAAAGAAAATCTGACTATTTTATCAAGTAGTACCATCTTCAAATCTAAAGAAATTATCAATAATTATCAGTCACCATAAATCTGGGCATAGAGTAGCTATTTATCTAAATTACCTGATGAAACTGTATAAGAATTAAGTTCTTCAAGTAAATTACAAGTATTTGCAGACAGATTTTGTGTCTGGTTTGTTTTTCTAACTTGCACCAATACAATGTTTAAAATTATGTTGGAATTTACCACCCAATATTACAGTCATTTATGTGTTTTTCTCTTCTGATTAACTGTGTGTTTTCTTTGAAGGTGAAATTTTCATCTTGTTAAATGTATATACCAGTGCCTAGTTTATATTAACCGCTCACTAAATATTAGTTCGGTTAGATTGAAAAGCTGTCCAATACATATTTATGGAATTAAGTTAATTAGAATGGATCAGAATTTAATTTGATGCCATATTAGCATAATCCTAAAAAGGCTATCAAAGTTTTGTGTCATTAGGCAGTATAATGTATTCAAGGTGGATTCAAATTCCAGCTCTATTTCTTATAAGCTTCCAGATCTTCATCAAGTACATAATCTCTGTAAACCTCAGTTTCCCCATCCTAACAAGTAGATAATAATATGGTTGTTAAGGATTAAATCCATATAAAGTGCTTAGTGTAATACCTGGCACACAGTAAGCTCTTAATAAATGTTTGCTATTATATTGCTATCCTTTATGTTATAGATAAACCTGAAATGTAGTCATAATATATGATTTGCCTGAAGAGTGACGTAGGTCTTTAAAACAGTGACACACATGCAATTGCGCATCACAGGGCTTCTCACAAAATTGAACTTCACAATGCCATCAGATTGTCATAGTTTCCCTTCTAGAAAGGGAACCTGTGATTCATTGAGCTAAATCAAGACTGAGTATCAGTTGACTATTGACTTTTGATTTTTTATTGCCTTAGGTTTGCCTTGATGATATGGCATGTTAATAGAAGCTGGTATATTGGTCTTCAGGTTATCTCATTGGATTTCATGCCAACCATGAAGGTTGACAGGTTTTTTATTAGTCCTCACAGGAAAACTGATTCTCAAAGTCAAAAGTCTCAAGCAGAGAATACAGGATATTGACCCATCGATTCCCACTATGTAAAGTCCTTTCTAAGACAGAATACTGACTCTTAAAGATTGCATATCTCATCTCACTTTTCTTACCAAGATTTCTTTCTTGAGATGTGCCATCCAGGGAAATCAATTATATGTGTTCATTCCTGATCCTCAGTTGTTAACGTAAAGTTGTGTACTGAGGCAAGTTTAAAACATAGCTGAAAATCCTTTGACATTGATATGGTTTGGCTCTGTGTCCCCACCCAAATCTCACCCCAAATTTTAATTCCCATAAACCCACGTGTCAAGCGTTGGACAAGGTGGAGGTAATTGGGTCATGGGCATGGTATCCCCCATGCTGTTGTCATGATAGTGAGTGAGTTCTCACCAGATCTGATGTTTTTATGAGCATCTGGCATTTCCTCTGCTTGCGCTCACTCACTCTGTCCTGCTGACATGGGAAGAAGGTGCCTTGCTTCCCCTTCACCTTCCACCATAATTGAAAGTTTCCTGAGACCTCCCCAGCCATGTTGAACTGTGAATCAATTAAGCCTCTTTCTTTTATAAATTACCCATCTCAGGTATTTCCTTATAGCAATGTAAGAACAGACTAATACGTAAATTGATACCGAGGTAGTGGGGCCTTGCTATAAGATACCTGAGAATGTGGAAGTGACTTTGGAACTCGGTAACAGGTAGAGGTTGGAACCATTTAGAGGGCTCAGAAGAAGACAGGAAGACATGGGAAATTTGGAACTTCCTAGAGGCTTGTTGAATGGTTTTAACCAAAATGCTACTAGTGATATAGACAATGAAGTCCAGGCTGAGGCAGTCTCAGATGGAGATGAGGAAGTTGTTAGGAACCAGAATAAAGGTGACTCTTGCTGTGCTTTAGCAAAGAGATTGTCAGCATTTTGCCCCTACTCTAGAGATTTGTGGAACTTTGAACTTGAGAGAAAAGATTTAGGGTATCAGGCAGAAGAACTTTCTAAGCAGCAAAGCATTAAAGATGTGACTTGGGTGCTCTTAAAAGCATACGATTTGATGCACTCACAAATATATTCCATACACTTGGAATTGGAACTTATGTTTAAAAGGGAAGCAGAGCATAAAGTTTGGAGAATTTGCAGCCTGACAATGCAACAGAAAAGAAAAACCCATTTTCTGAGGAGAAATTCAAGCCAGCTGCAGAAATTTGCATAAGTAACAAGGAGCCAAATGTTGATTACCAAGACAATGGGGAAAATGTCTCCAGGGCACATCAGAGGTCTTCATGGCAGCCCCTCCCATCACAGGCCCAGGAGGTCTAGGAGGAAAAAATGGTTTCCTGTGTTGGCTCCAGGGCCTTGCTGCTTTGTGCAGTCTCAGGACTTGGTGCCCTGCAACCCAGCCATGGCTAAAAGTGTCTAACATACAGCTCAAACTGTTGCTTCAGGGGGTGCAAGCACCAAGCATTGGCAGTTTATACATGGTGTTGGGCCTGTGGGTGCACAGATACCAAGAATTGAGGCTTGAGAGCCTCTGCCTAGATTTCAGAGCATGTATGGAAATGCCTGGATGTCCAGGGGTGCAGGGGTGGAGCCCTCACAGAGAACCTCTGCTATGGCAACGTGGAAGGGAAATTGGGGGTTGGAGCCCCCACACAGGGTCCCCACTGGGGCACTGCCTAGTGGAGCTGTGAGAAGAGAGCCACCATCCTCCAGACTCCAGAATGGTAGATCCACCAACAGCTTTCACTATGCACCTGGAAAAACCAAAAGCACTCAACACCAGCCCATGAAAACAGCTGGGAGCAGGGGGCGTGCTATACCCTGCAAAGCTGCAGGAGCAGAGCTGCCCAAGGGCTTGGGAGTCTACCTTTTGCATCAGCATGATGTGGATGTGGGGCATGGAGTCAAAGGAGATTATTTTGGAACTTTAAGATTTAATGACTGACCTGTTGAATTTCAGACTTGCATGGGGCTTGTAGCCCCTCTGTTCCGGCCAGTTTTTCCCATATGAAATGGGAGCATTTATACAATGCCTGTACCCCTATTTTAACTAGGAAGTAATTAGCTTGCTTTTGATTTTATAGGCTCTTAGGAAGAAGGAACTTCCCTTATCTCAGATGAGACTTTGGACTGTGGACTTTTGAGTTAATGCTGAAATGAGTTAAGACTTTGGGGGACTGTTGGGAAGGCATAATTGGTTTTGAAATGCGAAAAGACATGAGATTTGGGAGGAGCCAGGGGCAGAATGATATGGTTTGGCTGTGTCCCCACCCAAATCTCACCTCGAATTGTAATCCCCATAATCCCACATGTCAAGGGCAGGACCAGGTGGAGGTAATTGGATCATAGGGGTGGTATCCCCCATGTTGTTCTCGTGATAATAACTGAGTTCTCACCAGATCTAATGGTTTTATGGGCATCTGGCATTTCCCCTGTTTGCACTCACTCACTCCATGCCTGCTGCCCTGTGAAGAAGTTGCCTTGCTTCTCCTTTGCCTTCCACCATGATTGTAAGTTTCCTGAAGCTTCCCCAGCAATGTGGTATTGTGACTCAATTAAACCTCTTTCCTTTATAAACTACCCAGTCTCAGGTATTTCTTCAAAGCATTGTGAGAATGAACTAATAAAGGCATCTCTTAAATTGAGAAGTGAGATCTATGTTCCCTTTCTGGAATCTATATAAGCTTGTAATTGCTTCGATCAGTAGAGTATGACAGAAGTGTCACTGTTACTTCTGAGGCTGTGTCACAAAAGGCTGTGCATCTTCCACCTTGTTCACTACAGCACTTGCTCTTGAAGTACTCAACTGCTATGGGCATGCCATATTAAGAGGAAGCCCAAACTGTATGACCACAAGTAGAGCGTCTGGTCTATAGTTCCAAGGCAAGACAAATTTAAGTCATTCCAATCCAGAAGTCAGATATGCAAGTGGAGTAACCTCCAGATGACTCCAGCCTTCAGCCATTCAAGTTACCATCCACTAGCTGTTCCATTATTGCCGGCTAAGTCCCCACACATGAAGCAGAGAAAAGGAGTCCCTAATGTGCTCTGTCAAAATTTCTGACCCCCAGAATCTGTGATCATAATAAAATGGTGGTTGTTCTTTACCACTAAATTAGAAATAGTTTGTTATGCACCACTGGTAATTGGAACATTTAACATGAACCACAAGGAAAGCCATTGAGATGGAAATTCACAGAAAACAGGAAACACTGAGATGTGCAGGAAAGGACATTGTTGCCAGGAAACTAGACTCAAGTGTTCACTGTACATATATATATAGCATCTCCTATCTTTTTTTTTTTTAGTACCAGTGAATGTTGTCATTTTCTTACTAATTCCCAGCCTCTATCCTGTTGCCTGATCTCTGAAGCTATGCCAAGTACCACCAAAATATAGGCTTCAAGGCAATTTCCCTGATTAACTCTATGTGAAATGCAGCTATGCAAGGGAAGAAATTTTTCAAATACGAGAAAAGGAGAAATGTCTCCTGCTGAGGTAAGAAAGTAAAAGAGCACGAGTTTGGGAAAGACTTTTTCCAAAGGTTATTATCTGTCCCTATTCTTTGGGGATAAATAATAAGGTATTAAATAATAAGAAATACCATAGACTTTTTAAAAAACCTGGTAGAAAAGAAAGATACTTTATTAATTCATCTTACCAAATCATGCTCAAAATCTTATGATGTCTACAAGGTACTGGACATTTATTAGTGCCTGTTATTGCTTCTTTGACCTGATGTGCCTTCACACTATAAATGTGACAAAATCATTAAGACTTAGCTATATGAGGTATTTCTTTTTCATAATCCTCAAGCTAAAATGTCAAAATACCATCAATTACAAAACTAAAAGACAGTATAATTTTCATGGCTGTGAAATAAGTGAATCTCACACAAATGAATGTACAAAAATAATAATACATTTTAATAAAAAGCAATAATTTTTTTTTTTTTGAAACAGAGTCTCACTCAGCCACCCAGGCTGGGATGCAGTGGCGTGATCTCGGCTCACCGCAACCACTGTCTTCCAGGTTCAAGCGATTCTCCCATCTCCTGAGTAGCTGGGATTACAGGCACCTGCCATCATGCCCAGCTAATTTTTGTATTTTAGTAGAGACAGGGATTCACCATGTTGGCCAGGCTGCTCTTGAACTCCTGGCCTCAGGTGATCCACCCACCTCAGCCTCCCAAAGTGCTAGGATTACAGTCATGAGCCACCATGCCCAGCCAATAAGTTAATTTTTAAGAAGTCCCCGTAACTCCCTGTAGTTCTTCAAAGGTATTATTTGACACCGGTCTTAGTAATGACTAACAGTCATAATTCAGTAATAATAAGAGCCATCACCCATTTAATGCTTTCAGCAATCTTATGAGTTGGTTATCTTTCCCCTCTTTTTAAAGGTGAGGAAATGAATCGGCCCAGAGATATATTACTCATAAGGTGGAACAGGAATAAAACAGAGGTAGCCTATTTTCAATGCCTATGTGCCAAGGTGACTGTCTAAATAGCACCCAATAATTCAAAACATACTTCCACATGCATCCTTTGTCCTCTTTGAATCCCGAAAGTATCCCTGTGAGCCAGCCTGTTCTTTCTATTTTACAGATAAAGGCTTATCAGCTCTGGGAGGCTGAGCAAATTTCCCCAAGGAAAACCATAGGTATGAAACACGTTTGTATATCACAGCTTCTCAATAAATAAGACTTGAAATGTGTTCATCTGTGAGAAAGACAAAGAATGTATCACTTGAAAATATGGTACCTCTTGAAAAAACACATTTTGGTTTTTGGTGGACCATTTATGGAAAAGAATACAAAATTACAATTACAAAATGTGTTCAGATTGAGAAAATGAGTCATCATAAATTACAAATTTTTAAAAGCTGAAAATATCTCTAATACTGCATAAGTCTTGAAAATAGCAAAAGGAGTTTTACGAAATAACTGCTAACATGGTTTGGCAATAGCTTTTCCCTACATTTTTGGTTGCATACTCCCATATGACCTCTTCCTATGACAATGATTTTTAATATATTATGAAAAGAGATCAAAAAGCTAATTCATTCTTTCTTCTAATATGATTAAAGTTTGTCTTTTATTATTGGAAATTGAGAAGACTTAAGCCCATGACCTCACACATAGACCTCGCTGTTCATCAATTGCTACCAGTTTATGTCCTACAAACACAGGAACTCGGATATGTTCTATTTTGCCAGTTCCTGTCCAGTGTATGGGGGGTTGATAATTGTATATGTTGCATTGTTGATTATATTCCCGACATGAGAGAATGTCCATTTTGACTAGGAAACAAGAAGAACCAAGTCCTCTACAGTGCTTACAATTGTATGCATCCAACGACTGGAACAGTTTTTCACCAATTGGCTTTTGAATCTCTGCACTTCAAGCCTTGTTTCTCCTCCACTATCCACATGCTTCCAGTACTGGGCACTGGTGTATCACCAGCCACCACTGGCCCTGTACCTTCTGTGGCACACTGCCACCTGAAAACCACTCTCACAAAGAAAATACTGGCAACAATTTAACTGACTGTAAACCATAAATACATACATTATTTGGGAAAAAGATTCCCAAAAATGTTCACAGACCCTCAAAGGCCACCTGACTGGAGAGTAAATATGACTGAGAGGAAATCAAAGAGTAACAAAACTAGGGCCCAAAGAGGTTGCAGTTAGATACTGTAGTGTTGCAAATTTTACAAAAACCTATGTCCATGGGAAAACATTGCCTGAACCATGCTCCAGGGCACTGGAAGGAGCCTGTCCCGGGGAGGGACCTTGAAGTTTAAGCTTCACTGGTGTCACAGTGAACCATCTCTGTCTTCCTGAAAAAGAGTGATAGAGAAGAGTCTTGCAGAAAGATTTAAAATTTATTAGGAGCTCAAAAGCTTCCATTGCTTTTTTGACTCTGACTTTCTTTAATTAGCCAAGAGAGAGTCAAATGCTAATTGTCTAAGGGTTTTCCCACAGTGTCTTTTCTTTGCCAGAGAAATGCCAAGAAAACTGCTGGGCTGTAAAGGGGCAAAATGAGGCACCTAGAGTTTCCAAATAATTTAAGATGCAAAACCACTTCATTTAGATCAATTAAAAATGTTCTTGACTAACTTCATTTGCATGTTTATATTAGTTCTCCACTTCACTTGGATTATGTAATTTAAACGCTGCATTTAATTATAGCACAAACCCTTATTTATCAACCATCACTGATGTTACCGGTAAATAAGCCTTATCTTTCTATTCAGTATAAAAAGTACATCATAATAAACAAAGAGGAGCAATCTTCAAGCTGGAAAGGTTTGAATGAACATGATGGCAAGGGAACGGAAACCCAGGATTAAGTGGAAAGCAGTTGGGGAGAAAAAAAGCTCTTCGTTACTTTAAATAAACTAAAATCTCCAGACAGAGATGATTTCCCTCTCAAAGTACTGAAAGAATCTGCAAATGTGAACATTGCTCACTTTCATAACTTTTGCATAATTACAGAAAACAGAGGAGATGTTGAGAATATCAAAATGGAATAGTTGCCCATTCCAAAGAAGAGGAGAGAAATGTATTTGAAAAACACAAGACCAAAAATCTTGGAGTCAATTTCTAACAAAATGTTAAAATATATTATGATTTTCTCAGTTAGGAATTCCACAATCAACAACTCATTATAGTCAAATCTGATTTCTGGCTCCCAGCCCCAATTTTATCTGACAAAAAATAATCTAAATTCTATTAAACTCCATCATTGTCTCAATTATTCAAGTTTATAATTCAGAAAGGGGTTAAAACCCTCTCTGAGGGTTTTTTCCTCTCCCTTTCCTCCATGAGGTTGATTCTAAGCTCCAGAGAGGGGCATATATTATAAGAAATGCCCACATTGTCTCTCCTCCTGGTACAGAGGGAGCTGATTTCATTTTGAGTTTGCTCTTTCTGCCTATATCCTGTGTGAACCTCCTGCTCCACATCCACAGAAGGTCCTCTAGGGTACAATGGACACAGCCCCCTCCAATAGCAGCCTCATGGGTCTACATGGAGTGAGTTGGCTGCCACTGGTGTCTTGGAAATCAACTTCAGCCTGATACAAACCAAAGGTCCAGGCTCTCTTTCCCAAGAGGCCACATCAGTTGCAAACTCAATTGCTTCAAGACAACCTGCTCCAGTTCAGTTTGTGTTTATAAACAGCCGTCACAGCAGATTTATGCTGCTCCTATGAATTTGCAATGATCTGCCATATGCAGAGGTTAAAATTACAAGGCACAAATTTTGGTGTTCCAACATGAGTACAAATGGCCTGAATTGCCTGAGAAACAGCAGAATGCAATGGTTTTCTTTGATTTTGGAAGATTACACTGTCCACTAGGGAGCAGAATGAAGGTTCAAGAATAAAGTCAAGCTTAGTTTTTAAAAAAGCCCTATTTTTGCACAACTAAGCTTGTAGCCTATAAAATTCATACCTGATCAATATAACACTGTCTTTTAAGCATTAAGTAAAGGAGGCATTTATCACTAACGGCCCACATGGGCTTGCAAACAATAAGGCTCACTAAACTAACCACTGCTTTTTCGGGTACTTATATTTGTACATATTTATGGGGTACATGTGAAATTTTCTTATGTGCATAGAATAATGATCAAGTAAGGGTATTTAGGGTATCATCTGAGTATTTATCATTTCTATGTGTTGGGTACATTTCAAGTCCTCTCTTCTAGCTATTTTAAAAGTATAAATCATTGTTAACTACAGCCATCTTACTCTTCTAAGATTAGAACTTACTTATTCTATCCAACTGTATGTTATTTTGTACTCATTAACTAACCACACATGTTTTTTTTTTAATTTGAGAAATCAAAGAAAAACTATAAACCTGCATCTTGACTGAAGAAAAATACTGATTTTTTTTTTTTTTTTGAGATGGAGTCTCACTGTATCACCCAGGCTGGAGTGCAGTGGCGCAATCTCAGCTCACTGCAACGTCCACTTCCCAGGTTCAAGCGATTCTGCTGCCTCAGCCTCCCAAGTAACTAGGATTACAGGCACCTGCCACCATACCTGGCTAATTTTTGTATTTTTAGTAGAAACGGGGTTTCACCATCTTGGCCAGGCTGGTCTTGAACTCCTGATCTTGTGATCCACCTGCCTCTGCCTCCCAAAGTGCTGGGTTTACAGATGTGAGCCACTGCACCCGGCCAAATAATACACTTTTTATGGCATCTCAGAGACAAATGACATAGGAGAAGAACTACTTCAAACTCCAGTAATTCTAATGAGAAACTTGAGGCTCAGAGAAGTTAAGTGACATCTTCAAGGTGAAACTGTCACATAGTAATAAAGAGCAAACTTGAAATCTGGGCTCTTTTCTCTCAAACCATTTATAAGCATGCTCTGTATCGCAACCTGTGCTAGAAGTTGTGGATGTCAAGATGGATAGTAACAATTCTAGCTTTACACAGCTCAAAGCTGAGTCAGGGACATTAAATAAACCCCAGCTGGCTTCAGTCTCTAGGCCCAAGGGAAATCCTGTCAATTTTCTTCGAAGGGGTGTCCTGGAGCTGGCCTTCAACCAGCTCACAAAAGCCACTTGCGTCATCTCTTCCCAATTCCGTGTTCAGTGACATTATGTTGGTATACTGAAACTGGCAGTGGTATGAATATTTACACTAAGGAAATCAGCAACACTACAAATCAGAGCTTTCCCCCACCCCAGGACCATTTTTTAAGCATTTACCAGTACACCACTCAGGGACTCTCCTGTGTTTCACTCTTGTTGTTGCTGACACTAATCTTCTCCAGCCTGTGGCTCTGTTTTCCCTAAAAGCAGGATTTGGAGTAAAAGGAGGGCGTCCTACATTTTCTTGTGACTCTTAAAATGATGATCATATCATTTTAAGGAAATTGAAGCTATTACAGAGGTAAAAGAATTAAACAAGCACATGAGGAAGTTACAAAGATTCCTGTAGTTTACATTGTACTAACCTGACCTCAAGTCTCTTTCCTAGTTCTCTACTGAGTTCATGAATAAATAAGATAATGTACCTAAAGCTCCTAGTATAGTGCTTGGCACATAAGATGATACTCAATAGTCATTATGATTATAGTTTTAATAAACAGAAATATCTTTGGGACCTGGTCCTTGGCCTTTGTTGGGCTGAGGTTGGAAAACAACAGTCCTCCTGATCAGCCCTCTTTCCTCAGGTGAATAGCTGTCCTCCCAGAAGATTCCCTGTGAGAAAAAGGAAGCCTGAAGATGCAATTAATGTGGAACAATATATACCCTGATTTTCTGATGCTCTCTTTTATTTAATGTCCCTAACTATATTTAGACTGGATCCTGGTCTTGCACTGGGACTCTGATCCCCATAAAGATGCCCCGTCCTACACACACACACTGTTCCACAGAATTTTCTTGTCAAGAAACATAGTTGAAAATAAAGTCGAAATGGTTCTGAGAAAACTGGATATCCACAAGCAAAAGAATAAAATTGGACCCTTAGTCTACACCATACCCAAAAAATCAACTCAGAATGAATTAAAGGCTTAAACTAAGTAAGACCTGAAACTAAAACTCCTAGAAGAAAACAGGGGAAAAGCTGCTTGACATTGGTCTTGGAAATGATGTTTTTGGATATCACACCAAAAACTCAGGCAACAAGGCAGAAATAAACAAGTGGGACTACGTCAAACTAAAAAGCTTCTGCATAGCAAAGATAATTTTTTAAAAGTCAGCCTATTAATTGGGAGAAAATATTTGCAAACTATATATTTGATAAGGGATTAATAGTCAAAATACGTAAGGAACTCATACAACTGAATCTCAATAAGACGAATAACCTGATTTTTATTTTTGTCTTTTTTATTATACTTTAAGTTCTGGGATACATGTGCAGAATGTGCAGGTTTGTTACATAGATATACACATGCTATTGTGGTTTGCTGCACCCATCAACCCATCATCTACATTAGGTATTTGTCCTGATGTTCTCCCTCCCCTAACCCCCCACCCCCGACAGGCCCTGGTGTGTGATGTTCCCCTCCCTGTGACCATGTGTTCTCATTGTTCAGTTCCCACTTATGAGTGAGAACATGTGATAACCTGATTTTTAAATGGGCAAAGGACTTGAATAGATATTCTTCCAAAGAAGACATAAAAATGGCCAACGGGTACATGAAAAAGTGCTCAACATCACAAACCATAAGGGAAATGCAAATCAAAGCCACAATGACATGTGCTCTCACACTTGTTAGGATAGCCATGATTAAGAAGATGAATGATAACGTGTCGGCAAGGATGTGGAGGAAAGGGAACACTTGTACAATGCTGGAGAAAATATAAATTGGTACAAACCATTATAGAAAACAATATGTAGGTTTCTCAAAACATTAAAAATAGAACTACCATACAATCCAGCAATCCCACTGATGGGAAAACACACAATGGAAATGAAATCATTATATCAAAGAGATATCTGCATGCCCATGTTTATTGTAGCACTATTCACAATAGCTAAGACATGGAAACAATCTAAGTGTCCATTGACAGCTGAAAGGATAAAGAAGATGTGGTATATGTATACTACACATGATGGAATATTATTAATCCTTTAAAAAGAAGGGGATCCAGCCATTTGGTAACACATGGATGAACCTCAGGGATATTATGCTACATAAATGAGCCAGACACAGAAATAAAAATAATGCATGATGTCCCTAATATGTGAAATCTTAAAAAGCCAAATACATGGAAACAGAGAGTGAAATGAGGGTTGACAAGGGTGCAGATAGGGAGAAATGGGGAGATGTTGGTTAAAGGGTATAAAGTAGCAGATATGTAGCATGAACAAGCCTAAAGTTCTGGCCAGGCACAGTGGAGGCTCACACCTGTAATTCCAGCACTTTGGAAGGCCGAGACAGGAGGATCGCTTGAGCCCAGGAATTTGAGACCAGCCTGCTTGGATAACATGGTGAAACTCTGTCTCTACAAAAAATACAAAAATATTAGCCAGGTGTGATGGTGCGCATTTATAGTCCCAGCTACTCAGGAGGCTGAGGTGGGAGGGTTTCTTGAGCCCAGGAGTTCGAGGCTGCAGTGAGATGAGATTGTGCCACTGCACTGCAGCTTGGTCGAGAGTGAGACCCTGTCTCAAAAAAAAAAAAAAAAAAAGGAAGAAGAAGAAGAAAAAGAAAAGCGAGTCTACAGAGCTAATGTGCAACATGACTACAGTTAATAATATTGTATTGCATTCTGAAAATTTGCTTAGAGAGTGGATTTCAGGTGTTCTTGCTATGAAATGAAGGCAACTATGTGAGGAGATGAACATGTTTATTTGCTTGATTACAGTAATCATTTTACTATGAATATATGTATCAAAATATGTTGTACACCACAAAATCATATAATAAAAATGAAATGAAAATAAAGTGGCAAATACTACAGTAAAGCACAAATGCAATGTATGTTAGCAGTTTAGGCTGGGATAGGGGCAATGTGGAATGTGAGAAGGCCTCATACGTTCTTTCCAGGCAAGATGTGTCTGTGAAGCAGATGAAGAGACGTGAACATAAGGAGAGTACATTAAGGAGGATTTATTACTAAGGGGAAAAGGTGCCAGGAATCTGTGATAAAAAGGGTCTCAGTCAATCCAGATGGAGGTCTCTAGTGCCAGGCATATGTCTTTCTACTTGGCCCTAGGCTGCTTAGCCATCTGACATAAGAGAAGATGCAAGACATTTGCTTATCAGATTTTTGGATGGCACAAAGTTGGGAGTGAAAAATAACACACCCAAAAGAAGAACAGAAGACCACTTGGGATGATAAGATGAGCTCCTCCCAAAAGCAAGGTGAAGTTTAGACATGATATAAGCAGACTCTGATGCTTGGGTGTGCACTTAAGCAATGAACACAGCGAACATTCTGTCCTTCAAATATGATCTGGTTAACACATGCCTGTGCCAAAGAGCTTGGAGCCTATCTTTCTCACATGTTATCTGTTTCATATCCTGGGAAGTTATTTGTGAGATTGCTTGTTGGCTTTGAGGATGTAGTCTGTGGCTGTGGCACTAAACATTTCTTTCCAGATGGTTATCTGACCATCTGTGAATGAACCTGATTTTTAATATTAAATGAAATGTATTCTAACCAAATCAGCCAACCAGAATTTAATATTTGGATTGGGAGGAAAATTTGTGTTGAATTATTGGGGCAATTTCTTGATTCTTTATTTAACATTGCTTAACTTAATAGTAGCAGAGAGAATATCAAGGGCCCTTTCATCCCTTTCACTAGTTAGGTAACATTCCTTTAGTGGTACAAGACAGGATCCAAATATGGCATGTAAGAGATGTCATCTAGAAGAAAAATTACTCTTAATTTTGACTGTCCATAAAGATGACTTCATGACCTCTTCAAGAAAATGCTTTGGCAAATAACTTCATTATATACTAGGTATCGTTTCTGATGAATGCATTAATACATTTTAAATATCCTAAAAATACATTATTTAGTGAGTGCAAAAGAGTTTTTATATTAAAATCCATTGACATTATCTGCTTCCCTAAAACATGTAAATAAAGTTTATTGTCTTATTAATGAAATTTTTCCCATAAAGGTATATTATTACACCATATATAATTAAAAGCAGCATAGGCTGTAAATCACACTGATTTTTTTTCTGAAATGCACCTACTCTAGATAATGCTAACAATTGTTCCTTCCATATTGCCCTAAGCAATTTACAGATTAAATGTTATTCCTATCAAAATATCAACGACATTTTTCACAGAACTAGAAATAACTATTCTTTTTTTTTAATTATTATTATACTTCAAGTTTTAGGGTACATGTGCACATTGTGCAGGTTAGTTACATATGTATACATGTGCCATGCTGGTGCACTGCACCCACTAACTCGTCATCTAGCATTAGGTATATCTCCCAATGCTATCCCTCCCCCCTCCCCCCACCCCACCACAGTCCCCAGAGTGTGATATTCCCCTTCCTGTGTCCATGTGATCTCATTGTTCAATTCCCACCTATGAGTGAGAATATGCGGTGTTTGTGTTTTTGTTCTTGCGATAGTTTACTGAGAATGATGTTTTCCAATTTCATCCATGTCCCTACAAAGGACATGAACTCATCACTTTTTATGGCTGCATAGTATTCCATGGTGTATATGTGCCACATTTTCTTAATCCAGTCTATCATTGTTGGACATTTGGGTTGGTTCCAAGTCTTTGCTATTGTGAATAATGCCGCAATAAACATACGTGAGCATGTGCCATCCCATTACTGGGTATATACCCAAAGGACTATAAATCATGCTGCTAGAAATAACTATTCTGAACTCCATTTGGAACAAAAAAATAAAAATAAAAAGCCTGAATAGTCAAAGCAATCCTAAGCAAAAAGAACAAAACTGGAGGCATCACACTACCCGACTTGAAACTATACTACAAGGCCACAGTAATTAAAACAGCATTGAACTAGTACAAAAACAGACACATAGACCAATAGAATAAGTTAGAGAACTCGGAAAAAAAGCCGCACACTTACAACCATCTGTTCTTTGACAAAGTTGACAATAACAAGCAATGGGGAAAGGATTCCCTATTAAATACATGGTGCTGGAATAGCTGGCTAGCCATATGCAGAAGATTGAAACTGGACCCCTTCTTTATGCCATATACAAAAATCAACTCAAGATGAATTAAAGACTTTAATATAAAATCCATAACTATAAAAAGTCTGGAAGAAAACCTAGGAAATACCATTCTGGATATCAGTCCTGGCAAAGACTTCATGATGAAGACTCCAAAAGCAATTATAATGAAAATAAAAATTAAAAGTGAGAACTAACTAAACTAAAGAGCTCTTGTACAGGAAAAGAAACTACCAACAGAGTAAACAGACAATCTACAGAGTGAGAGAAAATATTTGCAAACTATGCATCTGACAAAGGTCTAAAATCCAGACTCTATAAGGAATTTATACAAATCAACAAGCAAAAAACAAATGACCCCATTAAAAAATGGGCAAAGGACATGAACAGACGCTTCTCAAAAGAAGTCATACATGCAGCCAATAAGCATATGAAAAAAATGTTCAATATGACTAATTATTAGGAAAATGAAAATGAAAACTACAATGAGATACCATCTCACACCAGTCAGAATGGCTATTATTAAAAAGTCAAAAAATAACAGATGCTAGTTAGATTGCAGAGAAAAGGGAATGCTTTTACACTACTGGTGGCAATGTATGTTAGTTCAGCCATTGCAGAAAGCAGTCTGGAGATTTCTCAAAAAACCTAAAATAGAACTACCATTCAACCTAGCAATCCCATTACTGAGTATATACTCAAAGGGATATAAATCCTTCTGTCATAAAGACACATGCACACATATGTTCACTGCAGCACTATTAACAACAACAAAACATGGAATCAACCTAGATGCTCATCAGTGGTGGACTGAATAAAGAATGTGTGGTACATATACACCGTGGAATACTATGCAGCTATAAAAAAAGAATAAAATCATCTCCTTTGCAGAAACATGGATGGAGCTGGAGACCATTAGCCTAAGCAAAATAATTCAGGAACAGAAAACGTAATACGACACGTTTTCACCTTTAAGCTACGCATTGAGTACACATGGACACAAAGAAGGGAATGATAGACAATGGAGTTTTTTGAGGGTGAAGGAGGAAAGATTGAAAAACTACATATTGGATATTATGCTGATTACGGGGGTGGTAAAATTATTTGTACAGCAAACCCCCATGACATGCAATTTACCCGTGTAACAGAGCTGCACATGTACCCCTTGAACCTAAAATAAAAGTTGGAAAGAAAAAAAATTGTTGCTTTTATACAAAGAAGATACTAGAAAACCCCTCCTGGTTTTTGTGACATAATTTTTATCCAAAAATATTTAAAATTTAACATCTTAAAGATATATTAAGAAAATGTATCCACTCAATAAAATAAAAAACAATTTTTGATAAATCAGGGTAAATATTAGAATAAATACATGCTTACTGTGAGGTTCTGTTCATTTAATTCTGAATTTTTTAGCCAAGAAGAAATCAATCAAATGTTACATTCACAGTGTTTTTAAGATAAACAATACCCAGTTAAGAAAAAGTACAGTTTTTAGTAAATATAAATATTTGAGAGATAGTCTTCTCACGGACGTTCAGCTCATCATAAGACAATCTGAAGTTCAATCAGTTTATAGGCTTCTCTAGTAATTACATAGCATGGGTTAGTCTACCCTTAGGCTCTATAACCATTCATTTTGTGGCCAATGATACTGCTGATACTGTGACAAAAATAAGTATTAATGAAAATCTGATGATTCTCCCTGTGGGTAATGAACAATTGTTATCTCTATAGAAAGAGGTAGATAGAGTGAGATAGAGATACAGATGAACATAGCGATATGGAGACAAAGACAGAGCGGAACATAGAGCACTGGAGCGGACCTTCTCATTGTATAATACTCCCTGCTCCAGATGAAGGGAGAGAGGCAAGTTATTCCTCAAAATATTCTGAAAAGCAGTGATTTCTGAGGAAAAGAGGACTTATTTGTATAGGAACCTGAGGATTTGGAGGCAAGAAGGCAGACTTAACCCCTACTTCTCTGAGACTGTAAGATAGAGAATCCAGTGGGCCAAGTGGCTTTGACAAGACTTCACTGGCAGGAAAGATCATCAAAAACTCCACATTGTTCAAGGGGAGTCAGTTTTGATGATCTTCATTCTATACAAGGTCTTAAGAATTGGTGGGAGGGGGAGGGCTGGTTCCAGCACAGAGGGTAACTGAAGCCAGAATCACCATATATCTTAGCTCAGTGGTTGTCCTTTTAGAAAAGCCTCTGGCCACATGGGTGTGAAATGAAGAGTTTCAGCCTAGGATTCTAAGAGGGCACTAGTGAGCCCTGGACAGACAGTGGTCCATTCACCAACCATCTGACAACTGAATGCAGCAGCAAGAAGCAAGGGCAGCGGTGGACTCAACCACTATTCTGGTTTGCTTTGTACTTGGCATTTGGAAGCAGTGCTAACCCCAGCCCCCCTTCCCAAATTAATCAAACCCTCAAGGTTGTGGAAAATTAGTGTTGTGGAAAAGGAATTAACAGTGATTCTGGACTTTCTGTTAATAAGAAAAGTGGTCCTCTCGAACAATTATTTGGAAAAATACAAGAAGTGCAACCATAGTTTTTCCCCAGATCTATGAAGCAAGTAGAAACAATTCCACAGGGCTCAGGCATCACATTGAGACAAATAGGTGCAGGTGATCAGCCACAGTTAGTCTTAGACTTGCCAAGTGACTTCTGCTAAGCTTTGTACAATTGAAGGGAGAGGATCCAGAAAGCACATGTATCCAGTGTCTACACCAGGAAAAAAAAATGCACCCCTTGAAGAATCTTCAACATGAATTTTGGCATCCTTAATGCCCAAAGTAGCTTTCCGTAACTGAATGTTTATTAAGTATCCTGGAGAAGCCATTGTTTTCCTTAAAAATATCTGGTGGCCTATGCCCATCCAAAGTGCTTAATTAGTGATTATTAAAACTGTAAACATATTGTGTACTTGTTATTTCCCTCCCACACATCTTGTAAAACTGCCACCAAAGACAAGGTCCACTATAATATTCAACATTCTTGGGTGAAAAATTCTCTTCTAGTTAATGCTAAAAGGAAAAAAAAAATGGCAAGGAAACACACTTTTCTTTATATTCTGGTATGCACTCATTCATTCATCCGTCCTTTCTATTATTTCAATTATTCGTTTAAACTACGAACTATGTGACAGTCATTTGCTGTGTGATGGAGATACAAAGATGTGTGGAATGCATCTCTAACCTCTAGAGATGCCCAGTTAAAGTGGAAGAGGAAAATATGCACATAATATGTTAACAGGATGCTGTAGATTGTATGGGCTTATAATGGAGGAAGTATTTAACCTGGAGGTAAAAGAAGACTTGTAAAGGAGGCAATGTATGAGATGAATCTTGAAGAGTGAGAGAGAAGCAGGCATCAAGATGGGTCCCAGCTTTCAGACTTGGCATGCATGAATCCTGGTGCCAGTAACTAAGATAAAGAAAGAACAAAGGAAGACTCATTTCTGGGAGACCATAAAGAGTTCCGTTTTAGAATTGTACCTTGATACTGCTGCCTTGGTTTTGATCACAGTGTGGCATAGTTGACTGGCACCTGCTTTCAGTTAAGCTGAACCAGGTTCATATCCTGGCTCTACCACTTACTAATGACATTACCATGGGCAAAGTTCTTAAATTCTCAGAGCCATGATTTTCTCATCTATAAAACAGAATTAATGATACATACTTCTTAGGTTTCAAGGATTAAAATGTACAATACTAGCTAAATTGATAATCCTTTTAATAATCCTTTAAAATAACCTCTTGGCCAGGTGCAGTGGCTCACGCCTGTAATCCCAGCACTTTCAGAGGCTGAGGCAGGCAGATCACCTGAGGTCGGGAGTTCGAGACCAGCCTGGCCAACATGGAGAAACACCATCTCTACTAAAAATACAAAAATTATCCAGGCATGGTGGTGCATGCCTGTAATCCTAGCTACTCGGGAGGCTGAGGCAGGAGAATTGCTTGAACCTGGAGGTGGAGGTTATGGTGAGCTGAGATCATGCCATTGCACTCCAGCCTGGGCAACGAGAGCGAAACTCCATCTCAAAAAAAAAAAAAACCTCTTGAGTCCAGTGTGGACCCAAACTGAATCTATTTTGCTTCTCTTCTTGGTCTTGGTCTTTGCTAATGAGTGGTGCACTTCTTTCTGTTGACTACTCTGACCTTTATGCCAAGCTGGCTGGTTTCCTGGTGCCCCGCCTTTTTTCTGTCTAGAGTTGAATCTCCTTATTCCCAGCATGTTTCATAGCCAGTGTTGAGAAGTATATACTATCTCACTGTTGTCTTTAAGCCTTGAGGGAGTGAATAAATAAAAATAAAAGTACATGTTATCTCTGCTGTTCAAATATCTGTCACCTGTTGGAACTACACCTTGCTGATGGATAGGGTGTTTACAGCTATGAACTTTGTCCTAACTTCCTTCATTCGTCAATCCTCCATCATCCAAGAGGAGTAATGTCACCCCCCCAGTCTTGGAGTGAAGCCAGGGTACACAGTAATGTCGTTCTGCTGGACTGCTCACGTGCATTGGAGGGTGACAGCTGGATCCCAGACAGCTGTTGTGTGACTAGCTGAAGTGAGATAATCATGAGCTGGGAGGAAAGAGGAAATGCTTTCAGGATTCACTGAAGCACAACTTCAAGAAACACAGAAAAACTGGAGCCAATTAGGAAACTCAGGATGACAAGCAGCTATCAGGAACCAACTTTTTAAACAAAAGCATCAGGCTAAGAAACAGTCACAAACAGCAAAATATCTTTCAGATAGACGTGGCCAGTGGTAATTAAAGCACATTTCCTGTGTGCTCAGTTTAGCAAGGACTGCCGAACCATTGAGGATATTTTTGGCTACATGCTCATCCAGATTTCAATGCCTTCTATTTGAAGAGGGATGATCAGATGTCTTTCCCCTAATCTATCTGTTTTGCAGGGCATACAGAAGTAGGGCCTTCCAGCCATTCTTTAGGCAGATAAAAAGACTTTAGCAGCTAGAAGAGAAAGAAACATAGCACATGAGGTTAGTAAGCCAGATAGTTGGGTCAAACAGTGAATGATCTGACAGACTGACACTGAGAGGTTCAGTATGTTGTGGCAATGAGTCAGAGCTGGATTCAAATCCCAACTCTGCAACAATGTGAGGATTTGCCTCCCGGTCATTAAAATGGAGAGAAAGTAGCTCTCATGGCTATCTAAACATTATAAGAAATAATACATAGTGTGCTCATAACAGATACTTTAAAAACAATTAGTTCTCTACTTTCTTCTTTATGTGCTAAGGGAAAACAGTCAGATATAGAAGTGGGACTTCAGTTATGCCCTTAGCTATGCCATCTATGACTTTCTCTTGTTCAGAGTTTCCTTTCTGATTAAAGAAATGAACACGATGTTGTCATAACCTAATTTTGGTATTCTGTTTATAAGTTAACTAGTAAATATTGCAATTACTTTACCATCTATTTCCCTCTGTGAGGACATAAACTTGCATAATGCTCTCATTTATGGTATACAGTTTTTTTTTAAAGTAAGCTCCAAGTTGAATTTTCCAGCTTGATGTCAGAAAGGGGGAAGGAACATGAACAGGTAAGGTTCTGAGGGCTTCCCCAACCAGAGCAGCCTTACTTTGAAATATTTCATGTATTGGCCTTTCCATAAGGTTTTTCTACATATAAAGGATCCCATAGCTGAATAATTAAGTTCAAAAGTCATTCTTCTATAATATGTATGTTCAGGAGAAGACTTGGATAAAAAATCATTAATTTTACACCTTGGGTGAATTAACATGGCCTCCCCTCTCATTTAGTCTATGCAGGGCCAGAAATTGATACATAGTATGGAAACAGTTCTCTGTCCCTACTAGAAATATTTCTGTAGTGAACTAGCCCCTGAAAAGACACAGGGAATAGAAAACATTTCAAGGATACTGAGTTGGGGTTCCCAAGACCACCCTCAGGTTTGATGATTCCCTACGAGGACTCACAGGACTCAACCTATAGTGATCCTCGTAGTCATGACTTATTACAGGTAAAAGACACTAAGCCTAATCAACCCGGGAAAAAGATTCAAGCGGCAAAGTCCGGAGGAAACGAGGAGCAGGCTTTCAAGAGTCTTCTTCCAGAGGAGCCACATAGGATGGGCTTAATTCTCCCAGCAACGAGTTGTGACAGCACGTGAGAAATGTTAGCCCAGAACAAGTACCAGTTGCCAACTCTGTGTTAGTTGGATTTGTGCTATCACAGGGTATGTTCTCAGGGAATTTTCTCCACATATATTCAAGTAAGCTTTGACTTTATGTGTTCAATATTCATATAACTTTTACTTTTACAGATTCTATACGATTTTCACAAATTTCCTTTCCTTGGTGGATTTCAGTGTTTCATCCATGATTGGACTGAGTTAAGCCATCATGTGATGTCTCTAACCTTCTACTAGAGGAGAAGACTCAGGTTCTAAAGAGGCAGAGGGGTGTGTGAGGAAGGAACTGGCGGGCATTAGGATCTGAGCTGAGGAAGATCTTCCTTCAACTCTTCCTGTGTTCTCTCTCCACCTCCTTGTTTTAGCGAATGGGGCTGCCTTTCAGGATGAGTATGAAGGGCTATTGCCCAAACTCACCCTCCACGCCACCTCTCAGAAGTCCTCACTCGCCCAAGGGGTGAGAGGTTGGAATGGCATGGCAGGCAGAGCAGTGCATCCCTAGACACCTTTATATAAGACGTTAAGAGCTATTAAAATGTCATTTAAACTCTGAAGAAGGAACAAGAGCAAGAAAAGCATATACTTAGTTTTGGGGAATGGATAATATAAAGAATAAACTACCAAATGTCCATTCCACTCAAGTTTATCTATCAATGAAAGTGATATTAATGGTGCAAAGTCCAAATTTGAGAGGAAAACAACTGAAGTTCAAAAATAGAGAGGGGAATTGTAAATTTTATGCAACTCTCCTGGTCCTCATGAATTATATTCTCCTGCTTGCAAAGAGCATGGAGTACCTACAGGAGAGCTGGGTTTTTGTTTTCTGGTTTTTAGAGATAGACAAAGAGGACAGATATGAAAAGTCTACAGATGGGCAAATGCTGTTTTCATTTTTAAAAAGTAAAGAATATAGTTATAGCAGACAAAAGACTTCTTATCTTGAGATTCATTCTGAGCAAGATCCTATAGAAGACAACAATAGAAAATTGTGATATTCTACTGCATGCCAGGCATTGTTCCCTGTGCTTTACAGATCTTAGCATTTCACGCCCGCAATGGCCTTCTGAGGTAGGTATGTCTGAGCTTCTCGCTGTGCAACTTCCTTACTTAGGGTCTCACCTTCTCCAAATGGGCTAAAGATTTCCCCTCAAAATCACATTCTTCTGCTAGAAAATAATTTTGATCATTACAACTCTTTTCCACCACATATCATAAAGGATAGGAGTGGGGTGGAGGGAAATGGGCTTCTCTATTAAAAATTATTATTAAAATCCTATTCTGTGTTCTGAATGTGCTTCCTTTCTCTGGTTCAGACAACCTGAAATTTGCAGGAGGATCACCAAAGAACCAAATCAAGGTTCCCTGAGTAGGGGACAGTTATTGAATCAGCTGGTCTTTCTGCTGTCCCTATCATCCATGAGACTGGGAAATTGAGCCTGGCCTCTTCCATTCTCAAAAATCAATAGCCTTTCTCCAAGCTTCATCCAGGGTTGAGAAGAACGTCCTCATTTTTGAAAATGTTGAGTGTGTAAGGTGCTTGAGCTGGGATTAGGGAGAGACTGTATAAACCTGTGTTTATTCTGAATATCAGCCTATTTCATACCATTCGTCCAGGTCCATGTAATTCCTGGTTCAAGTATTTATTCTTTCACGTAATGTGCCTGTTCTTATGTAAACCAAGATTGATGGAGAGAGCTCTGGGTAGCTATGTCTGTTTCTCAGATACAGTCCTCTTTTTCTCATGGTCATTTGCAGTTCTGAGATCCTAATTCTATTCTCTTAGCTTTATGCTATTTCCTGGAACTCTGGGGTTACATCTGACAAGGGACAATATGGTCCTGTCCTACTTTACCAAGAACTTCTTCCTTGCTGATCAAATTTTCTCTAGAACAGTAATTCTCTTCATGGTTTCCTTCACCATCTGAAACTTGATACAGACAACAGACTAGGTTAAAACATTTTTTCTTTCTTTTGTTTTTCCAGCTGAATGGGATTTTCAAAAACTATACATATGCTCAAATTTTAACTTTATTGTAATCAGTTTGAGTGAGTTGTTTGTTATTTGTTTTGTGGTTTTTATGTATAAATATGAAAGAGCAAGAGAATAGGGGAAAGTAAGTGAGAAAGATATTTCATTGCTTTTGTTTGGTTGGAAATGATGCTATTTTACTCGTTATTATATATGAGTATTGCAAAAAAGACTGCCTAAAAAGGCATGCTGAAAAATCAGAAGAACTCAGTTTTTTAGCTCCTGTAAGGACAGAATAAGGTAATGGTTGAGAGCATAAGCTCCAGAGTTTGACAAGCCTGGCTTTCAGTGCTGGCTTCTACACTTACCCACTCTATGACTTAGTGACTTTAGTCTTTCTCACACACAATTTATTGAAATATCTCATTGTGAGGTGGCAATTATGTAATTCATAAAACATAGTAAACACCTTAAAATGGTAGTTGTTATTTTAGTAGGAACTAGATAAATCCTTGCATTATTTTGGGGCTAGCCTCATGAATAACAAGAGTAGGCTTTGCAGTCTAATTTGAGTTACGCCCTCATGATCCGCTTGCTCATCCTCCCACTGGTCTTCAGGAAGTAAGGCTCTTGAATCTAGTTTATTAAATAAGCTGGATTCAATAGGGTGCAAGCAAAATACAACTTTTTTCCTCTTGCCACTGTCTCTTCGAACCTACACTCTCAACTTGTTCTTTCTCTACCTCTGAGTGAATATTGGACAGAACTCATAGTTCACATGATTACTATTAAGTAATAAGGCACTAATAAATAAGTAAAAACCTAATGTTATCCCAAAATCACATAAGTCTAAACTTATTCCGTTTAAATCTCCCTCACACCAGCTCAGGTCTCCTTCAGGTTTCCAAGCTGTGGAGGTGGAGAATGGCCGCTGGCTGCTGCTTTATTTCCTTTCTTTGTTTTTCATTAAAGCCTGACAGCAAGAAGGAAAGATTGAGCCAGTGTTAGCTCCCAACATCTCAATTCAAATGTTATTAAATTAGCTCTCAACTCCTGACTTCCCCATGGCAGCCTCAGCGGGCATCACTGATTCCCTCTAGCTATGGGTACTGTTTTACCCATTTTGGCAAGGAGAGAAAGAGTAGGGACCTCAGCCTCATCAGTCTGACTCCCCTCTGCCCAGGGCCTTAGCCAGGCTGGTATTTGGGGGTAGCCATGGCAATGGGCTGAGTGGCTTGTTGTGGCTAGGTGTCACAGACAGGACAGGCTACATAATTTGTGGAGTCATTTGCAAAATGAAAATTCAGGATCCTTGTTCAAAAATTATTAGGAATTTTAAGGCAGTGACAGGAGAGCATTAAGCCAAGCTCTGGACAGGTCACATGCCTCTGAACTGTACCCATAGTTAGAGAGAATCATCTCTAATCATTAAACAAATCCAGGAGAATGTGTGACAGGAAATCAAGTGAAGAATTAGGGTTCTGTTTCCAGGCAGGAGTGGAGACTAAGAGCAAAGTCCAGAGCTGGAACAATATAAGTAGGTGATTCAAGAAGAGGCTGAAGGATTCCCAGAAAGAGACCTGATGGCGCTGGCTAGTTCATAAGCCACAAACTTGTGATGTTATCTACACCAGTGTGCAGAGTGCCTGGGTGAGACACCTGCACAAAGCTCTGCAAGCTACCAGTGCACAGAGTGAGGGGCAGCTTTCCTCTAGACCCGGCCCAGGAGCCCTGCCTCTATTTCCCCGTGAGCACAGCGTCTCCGATCAGGGTCCCTCATCAAAGCCCCAGCAAATTTTCTTGTGGGAGAAGACAATGTTCAGTGGTGAAAGACTGATGAAGCAGTACAGAAAGAAAGGTCCCAGATGTACCAACTCCTTAAGAATAGTCAGCAGATCATAATGCATTGAACTTCAGACTTCCAAAGCAAGTCTGCATCCATTGTTTCATGGACATAATATCTGTGCCCATAGAATCACAAGGCTGAGTTTCAGTGAAAACACATCTGGTAGATGAGCGCATCAGAGCCCTCTTTCTGAGAGACAAAATGTAGGAAGACTGGCCATTGGCCGCCACAACCTCCTTGAGCTTTGAATCAGCTCTGGGCCCCACTCTGCCCTGTGGGCACCTGGCAGTTGTCTAACCACTGACCTTCAGCTTCACCACAGCTTGGTTTCCCTCTCCTTGATACTATTTCTTAGCCAGGAAGAGAAAGTGCAAGGAAGGGGATGGACATTAATCTGCAAGATTAGTGAGACCCTTCTCTCAACAGTAGATGTCAGCTATTTCGTAGAAGTGAAAATGCCTGCCTAAATACTAAAATGCTGTATGTGAGTTGTTTTGATCTGCAATGTCCTGCCATGTCACTGTGGCTAAGATTACTTCAAAACGGTCAACTGATGTGAAAAAAAAAAAAATCAATGGCTTCTCTACAATGTAATCCAAATACTTGTCACTTATAACAATTTTTTTTTTTTGTTAAGATAGAGTCTCACTCTGTCACCCAGGCTGGAGTGCAGTGGTGCGATCTAAGCTCACTGCAACCTCCACCTTCTGGGTTTTCAAGCAATTCTCTCACCTTAGCCTCCTGAGTAGCTGGGATTACAGGTGTGTACCACCACACCTGGCTAATTTTTGTATTTTTTGTAGAGACAGGGTTTCACCATATTGACCAGGCTGGTCTCGAACTCCTGACCTCAAGTTATTCACCCGCCTCAGCCTCCCAAAGTGCTGGGATTACAGATGTGAGCCACTGCACCTGGCCTGTAACTCCTTTTTTTCTTTTTTTGTTTTTAATTTCTCCTAGGGAGCAGCCAAAATGGCCAAACAGAAACAGCTCCCCTCTGTGGCTCCCACCAAGAAGGATGAAAAGGGCGAGTGAATTCTGCATCTTCAATTGAGGTACCAAGGTTCTCTCATTGGGACTGATTGGGGAGATGGCATGATTCACAGAGAGTAAGGAAAAGCAGGGTGGAGCAAGGGCCCACCCAGTAGCTGCATGGGGCAAACGGAGCTCCCTCCCCAAGCCAAGGGAGGAGGTGAGGGATTGTGCTACTCCTCCCTGAAAACCATGCTTTCCCATGGATCGTGCAACCCACAGATTAGGATGTCCCCTCGTGAGTCCACACCACCAGGGCCTTGGGTCCCAAGCACAGAGCTATGCAGACTCACAGCAGCTGCTCGGGTGGGCAGCAGCTCAGTAGGCACTGAGACAGGAGTTTTTGCATACTCAGGCTCTGGGAACTCCGGTGATGCAGGAGATCCGTCCACTGCGGTGGGAAGGAGGCTGAAGCCAGGGAGCCAAGTTGCCTCTCTGAGCGGGCCTCACTCCCAAAGAACCCCACAAGCTAAACCCACTGGCTTGGAATCCCCTCTGGCCAGCGCAGCAGGCTGGAGACTGCCTAAGAAGACCGAGTTCGGGGGGAGGGGTGGCCACCATCACTGAACTCTCCACCCCAAAACAACAGAATATACATTATTTTCAAGGCCACATGGTACTTGCTCTATAATTGATCACATAATTGGAAGTAAATCACTCCTGACCAAATGCAAAAGAACTGAAATCATAACAAACAATCTCTCAGACCACAGCACAATCAAATTAGAACTCAAGGTTAAGAAACTCACTCTAAACCACACAACTACATGAAAATTGAACAATCTGCTCCTGAATGACTCATGGGTAAATAAAAAAATGTTGGCAGAAATCAAGTTCTTTGAAACCAATGAGAACAAAGAGACCATGTACCAGCATCTCTGGGACACAGCTATAGCAGAGTTAAGAGGGAAATTTATAGCACTAAATGCCAACATCAAAAAGCTAGAAAAATCTCAAGCTAACAACCTAACATCTCAACTAAAAGAACTAGAGAACCAAGAGCAAACAAACCCCAAACCTAGCAGAAGACAAGAAATAACCAAGCTCAGAGCAGAACTGAAGGAGACAGAGACATGAAAAACCCTTCCAAAAAAATCAATGAATCCAGGAGCAGGGTTTTTGAAAAAATTAAAATGGACTATGAGCTAGACTAATAAAGAGGAAAAGAAAAAGGAATCAAATAGATACAATAAAAATGATAAAAAGGATATCACCACTGACCCCACAGAAATACAGACAACCAGCAGAGAATATTATAAACAGCTCTATGCAAATAAAGTAGAAAGTCTAGAAGAAATTGATCAATTCCTGGACACATACACCCTCCCAAGACAGAACCTTGAAGAAGTTGAATCCCTGAAGAGACCAATAGCAAGTTCTGAAATTGAGGCAGTAATAAATAGCCTACCAACCAATAAAAGCCCAGGACCAGATGAATTTATAGCTGAATTCTACCAGAAGTACAAAGAGGAGCTGATATCCTTTCTTCTGAAACTATTCTAAACAATTGAAAAGAACAGACTCTTCCCTAACTCGTTATATGAAGCCAGCATCATCCTGATACCAAAAGCTTGCAGAGCTACAACAAAAAAAGAAAACTTCAAGTCAATATCCCTGATCAACATCAATGCAAAAATTCTCCACAAAATACTGGCAAACTGAATACAGCAGCACATCAAAAAGCTTATCTGCCGCAATCAAGTTGGCTTCATCCCTGGGATGCAAGGCTGGTTCAACATATGCAAATCAATAAACATAATCCATCACATAAACAAATCTAAAGACAAAAACCACATGATTATCTCAATAGATGCAAAAAAAAAAGGTCTTCAATAAAAGCCAACAACCCTTCATGTTAAAAACTCTCAATAAACTAGGCATTGAAGGAACATACCTCAAAATAATAAGAGCCATTTATGACAAACCCACAGCCAATATTATACTGAATGGGCAAAAGCTGAAAGCATTCCCATTGAAAACCGGTAAATGACAAGGATGCCCTCTCTCACCACTCCTATTCAACATAGGTATTTGGAAGTTCTGGCCAGGGCAATCAGGCAAGAGAAAGAAATAAAGCGTATTTGAATAGGAAGAGAGGAAGTCAAATTATCTTTGTTTGCAGATGACATGATCCTATATCTGGAAAACCCCATCGTCTCAGCCCAAAAGCTTCTTAAGCTGATAAGCAACTTCAGCAGTCTCAGGATACAAAATCAATGTGCAAAAGTCACAAGCATTCCTATACACCAACAACAGGCAAGCAGAGAGCCAAATCATGAATAAACTCCCATTCACAATTGCTACAAGTAGAATAAAATACCTAGGATACAGCTAACAAGGGAAGTGAAGTACCTCTTCAAGGAGAACTAAAAACCATTGCTCAAATAAATCAGAGAGGACACAAACAAATGGAAATACATTCCATGCTCATGGATAGGAAGAATTAATATCATGGAAATGGTCATACTGCCCAAAGTAATTTATAGATCCAATGATATTCCCATTAAACTACCATTGACATTCTTCACAGAATTAGAAAAAACTATTTAAAATTCATATGGAACCAATAAAGAACTTGTATTGCCAAGACCATCCTAAGCATAAAGAACATTAGCATAAAGAACAAAGCTGGAGGCATCATGCTACTGGACTTCAAACTATGCTACAAGGCTACAGTAACCAAAACAGCATGGTGCTGGTACAAATACAGACACATAGACCAATGGAACAGAATAGAGAACTCATAAATAAGACCACACATCTACAACCATCTGATCTTCGACAAACCTGACAAAAACAAGCAACGGGGAAAGGATTCCCTATTTAATAAATGGTGCTGGGAAAACTGGCTAGCCACATGCAGAAAATTAAAACTGGACCCCTTCCTTACACATTACACAAAAATTAGCTCAAAATCGATTAAGACTTAAATTTAAAACCCAAAATGATAAAAACAAAAACCCTAGAAGAAAGTCTAGACAATACCATTCAGGACATAGGCACTGGCAAAGATTTCATGACAAAATCGCCAAAAGCAATTGCAACAAAAGCAAAAATTGACAATTAGGATCTAATTAAACGAAAGAGCTTCTGCACAGTAAAAGAAACTACCATCAGAGCAAACAGGTAACCTTCAGAGAGGGAGAAAATTTTTGCAATCTATCTATCTGACAAAGGTCTAATATCCAGAATCTACAAGGAACTTAAACAAATTTACAAGAAAAAAACAAATGGCCCCATTAAAAAGTGGGCAAAGGACATGAATAGACACTTCTCAAAAGAAGACATTCATGTGGCCAACAAACATTTAAACAAAAGCTCAACATCACTGATCATTAGATAAATGCAAACCTAAACCCCAATGAGATACCATCTCACTTCATTCAGAATGGCATTTATTAAAAAGTCAAGAAATGACAGATGCTGGCAAAGTTCTGGAGAAATAGGAATGCTTTTACACTGTTGGTGGGAATGTAAACTAGTTCAACCATTGTGGAAGACAGTGTAGTGATTCCTGAAAGATCTAGAACCAGAAATACCATCTGACTCAGCAATTCTATTATTGAGTATATACCCAAAGGAATATAAATCATTCTATTACAAAGATACATGCACACGTGTGTTCATTGCAGCACTATCCACAATAGCAAAGACATGGAATCGACCCAAATGCCCATCAGTTAGACTGAATGAAGAAAATGTGATACATATACACCATGGAATACTACGCAGCCATAAAAAGGAACAAGATCATGCTTTTTGCAGGGACATGGATGGGTGCTGGAAGCCATTACGCTCAGCAAACTAACGCAGGAACAGAAACCAAACCCCACATTATTCTCACTTACAAGTGGAAGCTGAACAATGAGAACATATGGACACAGGAAGGGGAACAATACACACTGGGGCCTGTCAGGGGGTGGGGTGGGGGAGGAAGAGCATTAGGAAAGATAACTAATGCATGCTGGGCTTAGGCAATGGGTTGATAGGTGCAGCAAACCACCATGGCACATGTTTACATATGTAACAAAGCTGCACATCCTGTACATGTACCCGGAACTTAAAATAAAAATTAAAAAGAAATTTCTCCTGGGCTGACACCTTTAAGTCTAATATTGTTTATTTATGTAATTGTTCTCAATATAGATATTTAATAATTTTAAAAATTGTGTTTAAATACTATGTTGTCATTAATATGTTTTAAAACCTGTTAAAGGGAGACAAAATTATCCCAATATTGTAAAAAGAAAATGATTTATGTATGAGAACTTATAAATAATTATATAATTTTAGTGTTAAATAATATAATACAATAAAATGATATAATTAATATAGCATGTTACACACATGCACACACACACACACACACACACACACACACAATGTTTAAAGAAGGAGAAAAAGAAGATTGAGAGAAAATCCACCAAAAAATTATAGTAATTATCTGGGTAGTCGAACTGGAGATGGTTTTTATTTTCTTCTTTACATTTTTCTGTTTTTCAAATGTTTTATATTTATAAAACTTTGCATATCATCAGAGGAGACAAATCATTATTTTTAAATGTCCCTTGGGAGCCAATAACACGTTTATTTAAACATTTCCAGGCTTTAAAAAACACTCCTTTAATATAGCCATGACATTTTCTTGCAATATGCATGTTCACACAACTTCTTTCCCCGCTAGACTTTATTATCTTAACATCTGTGATTTACTTGTTTTTATATTCCTACCTACTCAGCTATTTAGTACACATAGTAAATGCTCAGTAAATGTTTGTAGGATAAGATAATACACATTTATGAGTAAATGCAACTAGGTCATTTTAAAATTCAGACTTAGTTAAATAACTCTACTTTTGTTGCCTTTTCCCCAAGCTTATCGGTTCATTTTCCATACTAATTTTAAGCAAAATTTAAACTCTTTCCAAAACATTTAATTTTATTTTCATAAAACAATACCCTTTTCTTTGTGTAATCATTTCTTCTTTGGTTTCCCCAGTATTCTATTAAATTACATAGTTCTAATAACGAGTTCAACTGGCATGAACAGGCTAAGTTTCCAAACAGCAGACTATTGGGGAGTATATGCCTCAGTGGTGGCAGAAGTGAGGGAGTGAACTAGAAAGTGGCACAAGGGCAGTAATGGTCCAGCATCCAAGGGACATTTGTGTGGGTTATTGTTTTTGAAAAACTGGAGCAAGTAAGCAAAGCGGAGTTCAGTTAAAAGAGCTCTGACTTGCTTGCATCAGGTCACCTGCTTTGCCTACAGGATTCTTTTGAGAGCACGAGCACCTGTGCATTATGAGCATTTGCTCTTGCTTTTTGGAAGCAAAATGAAATGGCTGAAAAACAAGAAATGGAAGAAACTAAACTAAACAGAAGAAATAAGAGCTCAGATCATTTGTGTGTGTGTGTGTGTGTGTGTGTTTGTGTGTGTTTCTGGCAACTGAAAGAGTTAAATTTTGGAAAAACAAATCAATTAGATGTAAGAGGGAAAAAAACTTCTAGTCACTTTGTTACAAAAATATCCCACATTCTGGGAAACTAGCCCAAAACCTAGGAAGATTTGGACTTCATGTTAGACAAGCAGCATCAGCCACAGAAGAACTTTCTAGTAAAAAAGTGTGCATAGAAAAAAAGGTTGGAATTAGTTGAAATAGAAAAATTGAAAATAAACAGGGAGGGCCAAGCATGGTGGCTCACGTCTGTAATCCCAGTACTTTGGGACGCCGAGGCAGGTGGATCACCTGAGGTCAGGATTTCGAGACCAGCCTGACCAACATGGTGAAACCCCATCTCTACTAAAAATACAAAAATTGGCTGGACATGGTGGTGGGTGCCTGTAATCCCAGCTACTCAGGAGGCTGAGGCAGGAGAATCACTTGAACCCGGGAGGCTGAGCTTGCAGTGAGCCAAGATCGCGCCATTGCGCTCCAGCCTGGGTGACAGAGCGAGACTCCTTCTCAAAAAAGAAAATAAACAGGGAGGTCAGAAATCATAACTTGAGTTTATGTCTAAATTACCATCTTAAATATAGTGTTTGCATGTTTAGGTTTAAATCATTTGATAGATATTTCCCCCAAAAAATAACAGTTTAGTTACAACTTTGATTAAGAGCTTAAGCCTTACTGTTTGAATTCTGTAACCATCCTAGTACTCCTAGAATATGTACCCCATCAACACTTCAGAATTCTGATGAGTAAATAAAACTAAACCTAGATATAAACCTAGGTACAGAGCAATCATAAACATCATAATTACACACACATGTATTTATATGTGAAAATTCAAAGATTAAAATTGTTTATCCATTCCTTCACTTGAGTTAAGGAGAATCTCAGGAAAAGTGTCTTCATTTAACACTGAGCTGAATTTGCTTATTTTTCCTTTGCTGTACCTAGCATTTTCCTTGATTATATATTATTAAGTTATATTATTAGAGATTGTTTAGAGTATTGAAGAAGTGTTTTGAAAGACAAATTATTTTCTAATGAAATCAGCACTATTTCTTGCAGCAGATTACTGGATATTGCAGATGTGACTCATAAAATACCTGTCAACAGATGAGGAAAGAAATCTAATTGTGTAAAGGGTAGAAGGTACATATATCTTGTTTTCTAAAAAGAGACTATATAATGTTCAGAAGAAGTTTTAAGACCTCTATGTAAAGCAAGGTGCTATTTTAGTAATGATATATACATAAAGTAATTTAAAATCAACCATTAAATCATATACCAACATATTTGGACAACTCATCTGACCTATACTAGTTCTAAAGAAAAATGTACAATATAGTCATGGTTGTTTCCGTGTCTAGAAAAATGTGAAAAAATCCAAATGTCAATATTTGATAGATTTACTCTGCTGATATGATGTTTGCTCTACAAAGAAGTGGGACAATAATAAACATTGCTAGTAATAAGATATGGTTGAAATTTGTTTTAATATTTACTCTTAACATTTTATCTATCCTTTCCTTATTGTGTTCTATCTTTTTTCTTTCTTTACTTTTTCTTTCATCACAATGCAAACTCTATAAAAACAGACACTTATCCTCAGAAACTGTGCTTTCTTTTATACTTTACCTTGAAGTAATAATTAATGCCATTTAGACATGTAATCAACTTTTTTCTTTATTCAAAAATACCCTCCTTACACCAAAAGCACAATAAAAGAAAAATATAGATAAATTGGTTATCAGCAAAATTAAAAACTATTGTAATACAAAGGACAAAGTCAAGAGAGGAAAGACAACCTATAAAATGAGACAAAGGTTTTTTCAAATTATGTATTTGATAAGGGACTTGTATCCAGGATATACAAATAACTAGTACAACTCAATAATAAAAAGACAAATAACCCCATTTAAAAATGGACCAAGGATTTGGATACATATTTCACCAAAGAAGATACACAAAGGACCAGTAAGCATATAAAAAGATGTTCAGCATCATTAGCCATCAGGGAAATATAAATCAAAATCATAATGAGACACCACTTCATACCCACTAGGATAGCTATAATCAGAAAGTCAGATAACAACATGTATTGGTAAGCCTATGGAAAATTGGAGCTCTCATATACTGTTGGTAGGAATATAATATGAATAGCCACTTTGGAAAACAATATGGCAGTTCTCAAATGGTTAAACTTACAGTTATACAATCCAGCAATTCCACTCCTAGTTATATACCCAAAAGAAATGAAAACACATGTTCACAAGACAACTTGTACATGAATGTTTATAGCAGCACTATTCACAATAGTCAAAAAGTGGAAACAACAAAAATGTCCACCAACTGATGACTGGATAACCAACTGTGGTAGATCCATACAATGGAATATTATTTGACAATAAAAAAAGAATTAAAACACTGATATATGCTGCAACTTGGATGAACCTTGAAAACATTATACTAAGTGAAAGAAGCCAGACACAAAGGACCACACATTGTATGATTCCATTTATGTGGAATGTCAAAAATAGGTAAATCTATAGAGTCAGAAAGTAGGTTTCTGGTTAGTGGGTTTCCTACGGCTGGATGGGGAATGAGGAGATTGGGGGTGACAGCTAAATAAGCTTTAAAAAAATACCTCCTTTATCTAGAAACAGATAAATGATATTGCTACAATATCTCTTGTAGCAAGATATTGGTAAGCCTGCAAGTTGTTTCAAACTCAATCTCATGAGTTCTTACACATTTGTGTACTCACCTGTCCCTGGTAGTGCAGAAGCTCTGAATTTAGCCTCAGAAGCACTAGGTTTTGTGTCTTGTATTCCTCTTACTAGATGGCATTGAGAAACTCACTTAACTTTTCCAAGTCTTATTAGACAGAGATCATAATAACTAACTCACAGACATATTGTAACTAAATGATACGACATTGGTCAGAAGGCTTATCAACTGTAAATTACTATACAAATGTAAGTGGTTGCTATTGTCAGTTCTATAGACTCGGGGTCTTGAGAAGTCAGGCCCAAAGAGACCTGACTTGAATCACTCAATTATACCAAATTCAGGAGCCAAAATATTTTTTCCCATAAGTTATTGGGATACAGGTGATATTTGCTTGCATGAGTAAGTTCTTCAGTGGTGATTTGTGAGATTTTGGTGCACCCATCACCCGAGCCAAAATCTTAATCTACGGTGAGAAATCACACTGCCAAGCAGATCAAATCATGTCAGTCTCTCTACTCAGTTCCTTCCAAGGAAAGAAATCTATTTGGGAAACCCAATTACCATCAGAAGGTTGCTTAGACAGTGTAAAATCAGGGCCAAGGAGCTGGATTATCCTGGGAGCATTATGAAGATAAAGCAAACTAATGGATCACTTTCCTCCCCTGTGGGGATAAATCTGTCAAACAGACCAAACATCCTTCTTTCTTTAATGCAGTAGACTGCTCATAAATCCACCCTTACACCTCTATTTTTCCAGGTAATATTCCTCCCACTCTGATTATGTATAACTACCTCCACTTCAGCACTCTTCATTTGACACATTGTTATAACAAGCCAATTCCCAATTTCCAACTCCTTTTGTATTTATTGCATTTTTCAGTAGACTGCTTTCCTGGTGACAATTTGTGACATAGAATTCCTTACGGTCTCTATAGAAACTTTGATCTAAGCATTTCCCAGAGAAAGCTAATCTCACTATATGGTGTGGCTTCTTTTCTGATCCAGTTGTCTTGTCTTCTTCCAAACAACTTATCTCCAACTTGAAAAGTACTCTACAAGTTTGAATTATTATGATCACTGTTAGTTATGCAGGTCAATACCTTAATGCTTGGTTACCATGGAATGATTAGAACCTTCTGGTAAAACACAGTCCTCAATGACTCTAGCTTTTCTGCCTTCCTGGCAAACACATACTACTGTTTTAAAAAATCAGCTTTGCTTGGAAAAAAAAAAATGTCTATGGTTATAAAAAACATTCAAGTCATTGGACCATTGTTACTCTCACTGAAAGTTCTCTACTATTCTAAAATTAAAATGTAGTTATTAACAGATTTACTGAGTGTGTCCAGAAATAAAGATATTATTATTGATCTCACATGGCATAGTGGAGAGAAGGTGGATTTCAGAATCAGAGAGTTGGTTTGATATTCTGACACAGCCTCTTATGAGTAATGTGTCTTGGTCCAGTTACTTAACCACTCTGAAATTCACTTTCTTTATCCATTATAAATATCTCATTGAGGGTGTCCTGCAACCATGAAAAATAAAGCAAGACAGCAAGCAAAGTAATTGGTATGTTGTAGGTACAACATAAAAGATAGCTATTATTATTGGGGCCTTTGCATTCTTTAAAGAGGCCTCTATCTTTGTGAGCTTAAAATCAGTATTGGTCTTGGCTTGCTAGGTAACCTTCAGAAAACCTGGGTCTTTCTGTTCATTATTTGAAAAGTAAAGGGAAAATGACATTTTTCATGTTTAAAAGTAATAACAGTGTGGTTACATAAGTTTTTCTCAGCCCACTGAAATTTTTTCTTACATATTTCAAAAAAATGTCTCAATGCATTATAGAACCTAAGTAAGGTTTATAGGGCAGACGCTTAAGAAATGACCTTCTATGTGGAGAAACACAAACAGTATCTGTATGAATTTTCTCATCTGATCTCACCTACTATTTCAGGAGAGAGAGTAGCTCACAGCATTACAGACCTCTGACTTCAAAGCCTCTTAGTTTTAAAACTGCTGTTTGACTTGGAAAAACCATGGTCGGATGCTTAGGCTTTTAAAAAATCAAACACCATTTAAAAGTCCTGGTAACTGCATTCCCTGGGTTTTATAACCTGATTCTTTTCCAGAAAGGAAAGAATGATCTGTGAAAGGAATACTATGTAATGAAGCATTTTTAGTGAGTCAAATTTTTTACTTTCTAAAAGTGCTCTGAGTGTTGATGACACTAGTGCAACTCTTCCACTGAATAAAACAGATGCAGAAAACAGAAAAATCTAAGAGGAGAGGCCTGGTGCAGAATACCAAATATAAGACAGTCCTAAATGAAGCAAAGGGAGTTTTTCAAATTTCTTCTTTTTAAGATGATGTTCTCTGGGTTCTTTATGTTCCTGGGCTGGCCTTTCAGGTTTCTTGAGCCTGTCCTACCCCTGCCATAGCATCTCAGTCACTCAAAGGAATATTGCCTCCTTTTCTTCTATTGACCCCTTATATTAGTCTGCTAGGGCTGCCATAACAAAATATTATAGCCTGGGTGGCTTAAACCACAGAAATTTATTTTCTCACAGTTGTTGAGGCTAGAAACCCATGATCGGGTGTCAGCATGGTCAAGTTCTAGTGAGGGCATTATAGATGTCCTTGCTTCTCTATGTCCACCATCTCCCAGTGTGGTCTTGTGACCTCTTTGCGCATACATAGAGAACGGAAGCAAGCTCTCTCTGATGTCTCTTCTTATAAGGTCACTAATCTCATCAAGACTCATGACTTCCTCATAACCTATTACCTCCCAAAATGTTCCACCTCTAAATATCATCAAGTTGGAGGTTAGAGCTTTACCATGGGAATTTGGGGTAGAAAACAATTCAGTCTATAGCACTCCTCTAAACCTCTCCCTACCATATCACTTTACTGAAATTTAATGGCTTCATGGTTTATTCTGCTTTATAGTGTGACAGTCACCAGATAAAGTGAACTGATACACTTATGGAAGTTAAGTAGAAAAGTTAAACCCCACATCAGGTTTAAAGTCTGAATACAAAAGGGTCAATGGCTTATTGTGCAAAAGGTTTTACATAATAACTTTACTTTAATGAATTTGCCAATATTCAGAGATTGGTCTTCAGTCTTCCAGACTCAGAAATCAGATTTTTGTAGATCCAGCTTTCAGAATCCAACCTCTAATGAGAAAATTCACATTTACATAGCTCACAAAACTTTTGTGCAAATAAGAATGCCAATACATTTGTAGACAATGATAAATAAAAGCTCTCTCACACACGAGGATATTCACATTGACACAGACTCCAAATTCTAATGTGTTCTTCTTGGAAAGTCAGCTTATAATCAGAAAGCTGCTTGCTAAACAAGAATTCAGAGGACAAGAGATTATCTGCCTAATTAAAATGTCTAGTATCATGAGGCTAAGAAAGCCTGATCTATCTGACCTCACTGTAGAAATATCCTTAAACCTAAAGGATCATGAGAAACAGTCGATTGGCAGGACCTTCTCTTCCTGAAGTATGCCCAGATTGGCCCTCCCAAGTCACTCTGATGTGCCACACTTCTGTTGCTAAATTATATCATGGATGATGAAATTCTCCAGTCTTGCTCAGGCCTGGGAGCCACTGCACCTCTTTCATAAGGATATTATAATGTGAGAGTTCAGGACAAGGGCTTGAGAGCTAGACGATCTCAGTTCTGCCACTTTCTGGCCGTGTGACCTTGAGGACTTCATTGAAAATGTCCTAAACATCAGTTTCCTCCATTGCAATATTAAGAATATAACCTCATTTAATTTGCAAAATTGTCATAAGGATTACATATGTAATATTTTTCACAAATTAGCCATTGTAAATACTAAAAAAACTTACCTATTATTTAGCGGGAATTTACAAATCTGTTTAAATTCATTATCCGATTTTATAGTGTGACTCCCAGGGCACAATCTCATTTGTCTTATTTCCAACTTCCTTGCAGCTGTGGTTTATCTCATATTTGCTCCTGGAACCTATCTATCATACTGATTATAGAAACATGTGAGTAACTCTTTCTAGAGTACACACTGACTTTTCTGTCCAGTGACAGAGGGCTGCAGGAGATACCATTACTTACCACTTTTCTAGGACAGAAGTGGAGAGTTCAGGCCACAAAGAGAGAACATCACTGTGGAAAGTTTGTGATAGTGCTGAAAAGAGGCAACAGAAGACACTATAGAGGTAAAAGGCAGAAGTAAACTGCTTATGTTCTCATGGGTTTGCCAAAACCCATGATTACCTCTTTCCTTTATTTTATACTTTCTTTATTGCAAAATATACTATAGCTATCCAAAAGTATATATGCTGGCTTTATTCATAATTGTTTCCTTGCTTTTTTTATATTTTTGCTAACTTAATATTGGTCCCTAGCTATTTTAGTCTGTTTTTGAACTTCACATAAATGTAATCACACATTATTTTATGATTCCACTTCACTCTTCTACTTGGGGCCCCAAGAAGGCAGCATGATGCAGAGTAGCAACAGCTGCAAAGTATGACCACTGGGCCTTGGGCAGTCCATGGACTGCCCTGCACCAGCGTGTTGTCCTGTTGTTCTCACCAGGGACAGAAGCAGCTCAGAATGCTGGACTTCAAAGAGCTTTGTTCTTGCAGTCAGGGACTAGAAACCCTAAGCAGTGATCCGTTAGTGGACATAGGACCAAGGAAATGTCAGTAGTTGCCACACAGTGAATAACTTGACTGCTGTGTCTTAAGTTTTTAACTTTCATCCATGATGTTGGATATAGTTATAGTGCATTCATTTTCATTACTATATGGTATCTCATTCTATGAATATAACAGATAATTTATCTATTCTACTTTTTATAGAAACTATTTTGATTCTCCAGTTTCTTTTCAGATCAGATAAATTTTTCTCCTTTTACTAATGATTTTCATGAAGAGGAACAACTCTGAGTCTTAAATCAATTTTTGAGGCCTTATTTTGGCAAGGGTCTCTATATATTATTTTATATATAAAAGAATAATTAAGATTATTAACATAATAATTTTTAAAAAGTATTTAGGTTCCAGTTTTATCTATTCTGAATAATGCTTCTTTGAAAATGCTTGTACATGTCAGGGGTGAATCTGTAACAAAATAATCAAATGGACATTCTAAAATTTTACAATGTAATATATGAAAGTAAGAATGTAACAGATTGGTTTAACAGCAGATGGGACACAATTTCCATTAACTGAAAGACAGATCAATGCAAAGGACTCAAATTAAAGTATAAAGAGAAAAAGAACTGGTAGGATTTAAAAAAAAATGTAGAAAAGTTCCAACGTTGAATTGTGTGGCCTGACCTAGTCCCAGCCAGTCAAAGTGCCAATATTCCCTTAGTCACAGGATTGAATCAAGAGTTGGCATGTAATTTGTTTTGGTGCAATCAGAGCTAATTTTGGAGCTTAGTTTTGAACCACTGGGATGTGATGCTCTCTTTTCCATTGAATTTGAACCTGAAACTTCAGTGTTAACCTGGAACTTCTGGGCTGGTGTCTAGTTAGGGTCAAGAGAGAAGAGTAACTAAGTCCTGATAAGATCATTTGAGACCCTGGAGAGAGCTACAACAATCCTATCCTTGACAGTTATGTGAGCAAATATTTCTACTCTTGCTTTAGATCTGTTAGAGGTGGTTTTTTGCTTTGTTTTGTTTTTCTCGCCTTCAACAAGAGCCTTAACTATAAATACTTCTTCACTCTTGTGCATTCCCCAAATGCCCTCTTGCATGCCATGCAAAAGGAAATGTAGATCTCATAGTATGGAGAACTTCAGACCAACTCCCTGGCCTATCTCCTAAAGTGTATATGATCTTGAATCTGGCCCTTTCTAGCATTGCTCTAGAAGGCTGACTGACAGCACAAGGGACAGCTGTGTAGAAATCTCCTTCTTCATTGGCTCCCCAGTGACCTATATTCATTTAGCAAGCTTTGCATTCCTCGGTCCCTTGCTCATTTTTTAGACCCTAAGTTTAACATATTGTTTTAATTAACATTTTAGGAGCTAAACTCAGAGAGCAGTGATTATGTCTGAGTGGGAGGGTTCGTGATTACTCTCTGAATGGTATCATATTCAAAATAAGTAAAGAAATGCTTGTGAATTTCAATTGCTCTTCCTTTGCAGTCAGAAGATAAACCTAACATTCAAAATTGCCATCAGACAGAGAAGAAAGCCTGCTTGCTTGCATCTCTGTAAACTGACTTCTCGGAGCCTCATGGCCCTCTCCTATTGAGCTCTCTTTCCATTCCCATCTCCTTTTCAATTGTAATACCCTAGGTCGTCCTGGGCTCTGGGCTCTGAATTCTAGGCAAGGCACTATTTATTAACTGGCTGATGATTTGACACATAGAAACTGCCCTCATTTGAAGCTAGATTGAAAAATGTCTTTTTAAGTTTTACATTATCCTTTATTCCCTCTTTTTCACTGGGATAATATTTTTGAAAAACTCCTGGATCGAGCTTTGTTTCCAATATTTCTTTTTATTCTTTGTTCTGCTTTGCTCTTTATATCCCCTCCCCCTCAACCCACACACACATAAAATTAACTAAGTCAGAGCTTACAAACTGGCAGGCTGTAAAGCTGGCCGACAGATATGTTTCATTTCACCTTAATATATTTTAAAATTTTGTCTTTGTTATATGCAGTTAATATCAGGAGATACCACATAACAATGACCACTTCAGGATTTTCTTGAAATATCAGACTATCTGGCACCCTGAACCCAAATTCCTTTATGGCAACAATTAGATAGAGCTAAATAGCGACAGCACCTTTTATCTTACAACTGGTACACTTCACTCATTTACCCACTTCACTCTTCCACTTGAGACCCCAAGAAGGCAGCATGATGCGGAGTAGAAACAACTGCAAAGTGTGACCACTGGGCCTTGGGCAGCCCATGGACTGCCCTGCACCAGCATGTTGTCCTGTTGTGCTGACCAGGGACAGAAGCAGCTCAGAAAGCTGGACTTCAAAGAGCCTTGTTCTTGGAGTCAGGGACTAGAAACCCTAAGCAGTGATCCATCAGTGGACATGGGACCAAGGAAATGTCAGTAGTTGCCACGGGGTGAATAAACGGTAGCCAAGATCAGAAACTCCCAGTGCCTCAGCATTGCAGAAAAATGGAATGAGGAAAAAAAAAATTATGTTACCTTGTCAAAATTTAAAAAATTATTTCTTCTATATATCTGAATGTGTAGACTGAGATTCATGCTCTCCATATTATTGATTGAGACCTCATATTAAAATACTTTTTTCCCTGCATATAACCACTGATCACATTATTTTCTCTTTTTCTTATTATTTTTTTAAATTATAGGTTCAGGGGATACATGCATATGTTTGTTACACGAGTATATTGCATAATGATGGGGTTTGGACTTGTAGTGAACCTATCACCCAAGTAGTGAACATAGCACCCAATAGGTAGACTTTTAACCTCGCCCCCCTCTTAACCTCCCACTTTTGGAGTCCTCAGTGTCTACTGTTGCAATCTTAATGTCCAAGAGTACCCATTGTTCAGCTCCCACTTCTAAGGCAGAATGCATGATATTTTATTTTCTGTTTCTGAGTTATTTCACTTAAGATAATGGCCTCCACCTACATCTATGTTACTGCAAAAGACATGATTTCATTCTTTTTTATGGTTGTATGGTAGTCCATGGTATATATTAATACCACATTTTCTTTTAAACATTAAACATCACATTTTAAAAAAAATTAAACACCACATTTTCTTTATCCAGTCTACTCTTGATTGACACTTAGGTTGATTCCATGACTTTGCTATTGTGAATAGCTGCAATAAACATAAAAATGCAAGCTGTCTTTTTGATTAAATGGTTTCTTTTCCTTCGGGTAGATATCCAATAGAGGGATTGCTGGGTTGAATGGTAGTTCTGCTTTTAGTTCTTTGAGAAATCTCCAGACTGTTTGCCACATAGTTGGAACTAATTTGCATTCCTACCAACAGTGTAAAGCATTCCCTTTTCTCTGCAAACTTGCCATCATCTGTTGTTTTTTTTTACTTTTTAATAATAGCCATTCTGATTGGTGTGAGATAGTATCTCATTGTGGTTTTAATTTGCATTTCTCTGATGATTAGTGACATTGAATATTTTTTCATATGTTTGTTGGCTGCATGTTTGTCCTCTTTGTTTTTAACTTAACCTTTAAGTTCCAGGGTACATGTGCAGATTTGTTGTATAGGTAAACTTGTGTCATGGGGGTTTGTTGTACAGATTATTTTGTCACCAAGTATTAAGCCTAGTCCAATTAGTTAGTTTTTCTGATACTCTTACTACTGCAACCCTTCACCCTCCTATAGGCCCCAGTGTGTGTTGTTCCCCTTTATGTGTCCACATGTTCTTATCATTTAGCTCCCACTTATAAGTGAGAACATGCATGATATGGTTTGGCTCTGTGTCCCCACCCAAATCTCACCTTGAATTGTAATAATCCCCACATGCCAAGGGCATGTAATTGGATCATGGGGGCAGTTTCTCCCCTCAGGCTGTTCTCATGATAATGAGTCTCATGAGATCTGATGGTTTTATAAGCATCTGGCATTCCCCCCGCTTGCACTCATTCTCTCTCCTGCTGCCCTTTTGAAGGGGTGCCTTCTGCCATGATTGCAAGTTTCCTGAGCCCTCCCAAGCCATGCAGAACTATGAGTCAATTAAACCTCTTTTCTTTATAAATTACCCAGTCTCGGGTATTTCTTTATAGCAGCATGAGAATGGAGTAATACAATGCAATATTTGGTTTTCTGTTCCTGCATTAGTTTGCTAAGGATAATGGCCTACAGTTCCATCCCTGTTCCTACAAAGGACATGATCTTGATCTTGTTATTATTTATGGCACCATATTATTCCATTTTGTATATGTACCACATTTTCTTTTTCCAGTCTACCATTGATGGGCATTAAGATTGATACTATGTCTTTGCTATTGTGAATAGTGCTGCGGTGAACATATGCATGCATGCGTCTTTATAACAGAACAATTTATATTCCCTTGGGTATATTCCCAGTGATGGTATGCTGGGTCAAATGGCAGTTCTGTTTTTAGGTCTTTGAGGAATTGCCACTGTCTTCCACAATGGTTGAACTGATTTACACTCCCAACAACAATGTATTAGCAAGCGTTCCTTTTTCTCTGCAACCTCGCCAGCATGTGTTTGTTGTTGTTGTTGTTGTTGTTGTTGCTGTTTACTTTTACATAGTAACCATTCTGACTGGTGTGAGATGGTACCTCACTGTAATTTTGATTTGCATTTCTCTAATGATCAGTGATGTTGAGCATTTTTTCATATGCTTGTGGCCATCTGTATGTCTTCTTTTGAAAAGTATCTGTTCATGTCCTTTGCCCACTTTCTAACTGGGTTGTGTTTTTCTTATAAATTTAAGTTCTGTATAAATGCTGGATAGTAGACCTTTGTCAGATGGGTAGATTGCAAAAATTTTCTCCAGTTCTATAGGTTGTTTATTGATAGTTCTTTGGCTGTGTGGAGGCTTTATAATTTAATTAAGTCACATTTGTCTGTTCTTGTTTTTGTTGCATTTGCTTTTAAGGTCTTAAGTCATAAATTCTTTGTGGAGGCCAATGTCCAGAAGAATTTTTCCTATGCCTTTTCCAGGACTTTTATAGTTTCAGTCTTCCATTTAAGTCTTAATCTATCTTGAGCTAATTCTTGTACATGCTAAGAGATAGGGTCCAGTTTCATTCTTCTGCATATGGCTAGTCAGTATTCCCAGCACCATTTACTGAATAGGATGTCCTTTACCCATAGTTTATTTTTGTTGACTTTGTCAAAGATCAGTTGTTTGTAGATGTGTGGCTTTATTTCTGAGTTCTCCATTCTGCTTCATTGATCTATGTGTCTGTTTTTAATACCAGCACCATATTGTTTTGGTTACTATAGACTTGTAGTATAGTTTGGAATTGGATAACATAATGCCTTTGGCTTTGTTCTTTTTGCTTAAGATTACTTTGACTAGTTGGGCTCTTTTTTGGTTCATATGAGTTTTATTTTTTTTTCTTATTCTGTAAAACATTATGTTGGTAATTTGATAGGATTAGCATTGAATCTGTAGATGGCTTTGCAGAGTATGGTCATTTTAATGATACTGATTCTTTCGATCCATGACCACAGAATGTTTCTCCATTAGCTTGTTCATCTATTATTTCTTTCATCAGTGTTTTGAAGATCTCCTTGCAGAGATCTTTCACCTTCTTGGTTAAATGTATTGCTTGGTAGTTTTTTTGTGTGTGTGTGGCTATTGTAAATAGGATTAGTTCCTGATTTGTTTCTCAGCTTGACCATTATTGGTACATAGAAATGTTACTGACTTTTGTATGTTGACTTTGTATCCGGAAACTTTACTGAAGTCATTTATCAGGTCTGGGAGTCTTTTGGAGGAATCTTTACAGTTTTCTAGGTATAGGATTATGTCTTCAGTGAAGACAGATAATTTGATTTCCTCTTTTCCTATTTGGATACCTTTTATTTCTTTCTCATGCCTGATGGCTCTGGCTAGCACTTCCAGTACTATGTTGAATAGAAGTGGTAACAGTGGACATCCCTGTCTTTTTCCAGTTCTTAGGGGGATGCTTTCAACTTTTGCTCATTCAGAATGATGTTGTCTGAGACTGTCACATATAGCTCTTACTATTTTGAGGTATGTTCCTTCAAGGCCTAGTTTGTTGAAGATTTGTTTTCTACTTTTATTGTAAATTCAGGGAGTACATGTGCAGGTTTGTTACCTGGGTGTATTGCATGATGCTGAGGTTTCGGGTACAAATGATCCTGTCACCCAGGTACTGAGCATGGTACACAACAGTTTTTCAACTCTTGCCCCCTCCCCACTCTCCCCCTTCCAGTAGTCCCCAGTGTCTATGGTTGCCATCTTTATCTCCATGAGTACCCAATATTTAGGTCTTACTTATAAGTGAGAACAAGTGGTATTTGGTTTTCTGTTTCTGCATTAATTTGCTTATGATAATGGCCTCCAGCTGCATTCATGTTGCTGCAGAGGATATGATTTCATTTTGTTGAAAATTTTTATCATGAAGGGATGTTGGATTTTAACAAGTGCTTTTTCTGCCTCTATTGAGATGATCATACGGTTTTTGTTTTTAATTCTGTTTATATGGTGAATCACATTTATTGATTTGCATTTGTTCAACCATCCTTGCATCTCAGGAATAAAACCCACTTGATCATGATGAATTATCCCTTTGATGTGCTGCTGAATTTGTTTTGCTAGTATTTTGTTGAGGATTTTTGCATCTATATTCATCAGGAATATTGGCCTGTAGTTTTCTTTTGTTGTTGTGTCCTTGCCAGATTTTGGTATCAGTATGATACTGGTTTTGTAGAATGAGTTAGGGAGGAAGCCCTCCTCTTTGATTTTTTTGGAATGGTTTCAGTAAGATTGGTACCAGCCCTTTTTTGTACATCTGGTGGAGTGTGGCTGCAAATCCATCTGGTCCAGGGCTTTTTGTAGTTTTTTGGTGGGAAGATTTTTTTCATTACTGATTCAATTCCATAACTTGCTGTTGATCTGCTCTAGATTTCAATTTCTTTCTACTTCAATCTTGGGAGGTTGTGTATTTCCAGGAACTTATCCATTTCCTCTAGGTTTTCTAGTTTGTATGCATAGAGATGTTCATAACAGTCTCTGAGGATTTTTTTGTATTTCTGTGGTATCAGTCCTAATGTCACCTCATTATACTTTGTCATTTCTGATTATGCTTATTTGAATCTCCTTTCTTTTTTCTGTTAATCTAGCTGGTGATCTACCCATTTTGTTTGTTCTTTCAAAAACCAACTTTTCATTTTGTGTGGGTTTTTTTAATCTCAATTTCATTTGGTTCTTCTCTGGCCTTTTTTATTTCTTTTCTTCTGCTAGCTTTGGGTTTGGTTTGTTCTTATTTTTCTAGTTCCTTTAGGTGTGACATTAGGTTGTTAATTTGAGATTTTTCTATCTTTTTTAGGTAGGCATTTAGCATTATAAACTTCCTTTTTAGCATGGCTTTTGCTGTATCCCAGAGGTTTTGGTATGTTGTGTCTCTATTTTCATTAGTTTCATTTTTGTTGACTTCTGCCTTAATTTTGTTATTTACCCAAAAGTCATTCAGGAGCAATTTGCTTATTTTACACATACTTGTGTGGTTTTGAGAGTTCCTCTTCCTATTGATTTCTGATTGTATTCTACTGTGGTCTGAGAAAATGCTTGACATGATTTTGATTTTTTAAATTTATTGAGACTTGTTTTATGACTGAGCATGTAGTTAATTTTGGAGAATGTCCCATGCTCAGATGAGAAAAAAATGTGTATGCTGTGGTTGTTGGGTGGTGTATTCTGTATATGTCTATTAGGACTACTCGGTTAAGAGTTCAATTTAAGTACAGAGTTTCTTTGTTAGTTTTCTGCCTTGATGATCTATCTAGTGCTATCAGTGGTATGTTGATGTCTCCCACTATTATTGTATGGCTGTCTATCTCTTTTCTGAGGTCTAGCAGCATTTGTTTTATGAATCTGGATGCTCCAATGTTGGGTGCATATATGTTGAGGATAGTAAAATCCTGTTGAATTGAACCCTTTATCATTATATAATGGCCTTCTTTTTACTGTTGTTGCTTTGGAGTATGTTTTATCTGATACAAGAATAGCAACTCCTGCTCTTTTTTGTTTTTGTTTGCGTGATAGATATTTCTCCATCCCTTTACTTTGAGCCCATGGGTGTTATTACACATGGAGATGTATCTCTTGAAGGCAGCAGAAGGTTGGACCTTGTTGTTGCTGTTGTTGTTTTATCCCACTTGCCACTTTTAAGCATTTAGGCCACTTATGTTTAAGGTTAATATTGATATGTGAGGTTTTGTTCCTGTCATATTTTTGTTACCTAGTTTCTTTGTAGTCTGAATTGTGTAATTGCTTTATAGGATCTGTTAGCTTTGTACTTATGTGTGCTTTTATGATACCAAGTATAGTTCTTTTGTTTCCATGTTTCGAACTTCTTTGAGCATCTCTTGTAGGCCTAGTCTGGTGATGATTAATTCCCTTAGCATTTGTTTGCCTGATAAATACTTTATTTCTCCTTCATTTATGAAACTTAGTTTAGCAGGATATGAAATTTTTGGCTGGCATTTTTTTTTCTTTACAAAGGCTAAAATTAGGCCCCCAATCTCTTCTGGTTTGTAAGGTTTCTGCTGAGAATTCTATTGTCAGTCTGATGGGATTTCCTTTACAGGTAATGTGATCCTTTTCTTCAGTGGCCTTTAAGATTTTTTCTTTTACATTGACCTTGGACAGTCAGATGACTATATGCTTGGGAATGGTTGTCTTTTATAGCATCTTGCAGGTATTTTCTGAATTTCTCGTATCTGAATGTTGATCAATCTAGCAAGATTAGGGACATTTTCCTGAAGTATTCCTTTGATTACATAATCCACATTTCTTACTTTTTCATCTTCTCTCTCAAAAATGTCAGTAAAGTGTAGGTTTGGTCACTTTACGTAATCCCCTATTTCTTGAGGGCTTTGTTCATTTTCTCAGTCTTTTTGTTTTTGTTAATGCAAAAGACTGGTCTTCAAGCTCTTAAATTGTTCCTTCTAGTCTTTATCTAGTCTATTGTTTAAAGCTTCCAATTGTATTTTGAAATTCCTGTAGTAAATTTTTCAATTCCAGATGGTTTATTTCATTTTTTCTTAATATAACTGTCTCATCTTTCATGTGCTGAGTCATTTTTCTGTTTTTTTTGTGTGTGTTGAATTTCAACTTTCTCTTGGATCTCATTCAGTTACTTTGAAATCCATATTTTGAATTCTTTGTCATTCTAGACTTTCAATTTAATTAAGATTCATTGCTAGAGAGATAGTGCAATCCTAGGTGTCAAGACACTCTGGCTTTTTGTATTGTCGGAGTTCTTGCACTGATTCTTTCCATCTGAGGGAGCTGCTCCTTCTTATTTTTGAATTTGCAATCATTTGGATGAGACTTCTAAATTTTTTTATTCTTTTTTTCCTTGAGGGTATGACCATGGAGTATGTTGTGTATGATTATTTGGCTTTGTTTGTGGGTACTTTCAGAGGCCTAAGGCTCTGTTTGGGTTCCTCGGTTGTGGATAGCTTCTGTGTGCTTTCTCAGATGCTGTTTGTTGTAGTTATGTATTGTATGAGCTTACACACTATCTCCCGCAGGGCTGAGGGTGTGGAGGATTCAAGAAGCTTATCTCTGGACTAGCACTAAGCCCTTCTGACAGCAGGATTTTTATTTGGTAGTGCAGTTCAGGCTTATTGAACTGAAGCAATATCCATGGCCCGCAGCCACATTGGAGGTGCTTAAGAGTAAAAGCCAGCTCATCCTCAGGTGGGCTGATGAAGATTGAAAACAGCCTGCTCTGATCCATCTTGAATTAATTTTTATATAAGGTGTAAGGAAGGGATCCAGTTTCAGCTTTCTACATAAGGCTAGCCAGTTTTCCCAGCACCATTCATTAAATAGGGAATCCTTTCCCCATTTCTTGTTTTTGTCAGGTTTGTCAAAGATCAGATGGTTGTAGTTCTGTGCTATTATATCTGAGGGCTCTATTGTGTTCCATTGTCTATATCTCTGATTTGGTACCAGTACCATGATGTTTTGGTTACTGTAACCTTGTAGTATAGTTTGAAGTCAGGTAGCATGATGCTTAAATGTTAGACCTAAAACCATAAAAACCCTAGAAGAAAACTTAGGCAATACCATTCAGGACATAGGCATGAGTAAGGACTTCATGTCTAAAACACCAAAAGCAATGGCAACAAAAGCCAAAATTGACAAATAGGATCTAATTAAACTAAAGAGCTTCTGCACAGCAAAAGAAACTACCATCAGAGTGAACAGGCAACCTACAGAATGGGAGAAAATTTTTACAATCTACCCATCTGACAAAGGGCTAACATCCAGAATCTACAAAGAACTTAAACAAACTTACAAGAAAAAATCAAACAACCCCCTCAAAAAGTGGGAAAAGGATATGAGCAGACACTTCTCAAAAGAAGACATTTATGCAGCCAACAGACATATGAAAAAATGCTCATCATCACTGGCCATCAGAGAAATGCAAATCAAAACCACAACGAGATAACATCTCACACCAGTTAGAATGGCAATCAGTAAAAAGTCAGGAAACAACAGGTGCTGGAGAGGATGTGGAGAAATAGGAACACTTTTACACTGTTGGTGGGACCATAAACTAGTTCAACCATTGTGGAAGACAGTGTGGCAATTCCTCAAGGATCTAGAACTAGAAATACCATTTGATCCAGCCATCCCATTACTGGGTATGTACCCAAAGGATTATAAATCATGCTGCTATAAAGACACATGCACATGTATGTTTACTGCGGCACTATTCACAATAGCAAAGACTTGGAACCAACCCAAATGTCCATCAATGATAGACTGGATTAAGAAAATGTGACACATATACACTATGGAATACTATGCAGCCATAAAGAAGGATGAGTTCATGTCCTTTGTAGGGACATGGATGAAGCTCGAAACCATCATTCTGAGCAAACTATCACAAGGACAGAAAACCAAACACCCCATGTTCTCACTCATAGGTGGGAATTGAACAATAAGAACACATGGACACAGGGTGGGGAACATCACACAGTGGGGCCTGTCATGGGGTGGGGGTAGGGGGGAGGGATACGATTAGGAGAAATACCTAATGTAAATGACGAGTTAATGAGTGCAGCACACCAACATGGCACATGTATACGTATGTAACAAACCTGCATGTTGTGCACATGTACCCTAGAACTTAAAGTATAATAAAAAAAATAAAAAATAAAAAAATAAAAATAATTAAATAAAAAAGAATACACCTTCTCTGATGCAGGGTAGTGGGGTAGGAAGAGATTGTGTTGAGGTGTGCCAAGGTCTTGGAGGAAGGAGCAGGAGGGATTCACCAGCTCCTCATCCAGAGCAGGCAGGAATGCAACCCACTTCCCTATCATGCTCCTGTCAGAGGACTTATGAACTTCAATTCATAAAGACTGTGACCTTTGATTCCTGACCACAGTGTGACTGCAGGACACGGATATGCCCCTCTGATGGCTACCGCCAAAATGAGTTGAAGAGGCTTTGCCCCTTCCCGCAGTC